>NC_000010.11:107567337-107870368 GCF_000001405.40 Homo sapiens
GCCTTTCCAGCAGCCCCCCAGAGTCATAACTCATTTCAGTATTAACTTGAAAGTTCATAGTCCAACATCTCATTTGAGACAAGGCAAGAAGACCCTTCAACCTATGAGCCTGTAAAATCATAAGAAAGTTAGTTACTTCCCAGGTACAATGGGGGTACAGACATTGGGTAAATACAGTCATTCTAAACAGGAGAAATTGGCCAAAACAAAGGGGCTGCAGGTCCCATGCAAGTCCCAAATCCAGCAGGGAAGTCAAATTTTAAAGCTCTCACATGATCTCCTTTGACTCCATGTCTTGGATATAGGTCACATTGATGCAAAAGGTGGGTTCCCATGGTCTTGGGCAGCTCCGCTCCATGGCTCTGTAGGGTACGGCCTCCCTCCTGGCTGCTTTCACAGGCTGGTGTTGAATGTCTGTGACTTTTCCAGGCACACAGTGCAAGCTGTCATTGGATCTACCATTCTGGGGTCCAGAGGACAGTGGCCCTCTTCTCACAGCTGCACTAGGTCGTGCCCCAGTACAGACTTTGTGTGGGGCCTCCAAACCCACATTTCCTTCTGCACTGCCCTAGCAGAGGTTCTCCATGAAAGCTCTGCCCATGTGGCAAACCAGCATGGGCATCCTGGCATTTCCATATATCTTCTGAAATCTAGGAGGAGGTGCCCAAACCCCAGTTTTTGACTTCTGTGCACTCACAGGCTCAACACCATGTGGCAGCTGCCAAGGCTTGGGGCTTGCACCCTCTGAAGCCAGGCTCCAAGCTCTACATTGCTTCTTTTCAACCACAGCTGGAGTGGCCATGATGCAGGGCACCAAGTCCCTAGGCTGCACACAGCACGGGTATCCTGGGCCCAGGTCAAAAAACCACTCTTTCTTCCTAGGCCTCTGAGCCTGTGATGGGACTGCTAGAAAGACCTCTGACATTCTCTGGAGACATTTTCCCCATTGTGTTGAGGATTAATAGTCATCTCCTCATTATTTATATAAATTTCTGCAGCTGGTTTGAATTTTACCACAGAAAATGGGATTTTCTTTTCTATTGCATTTTTAGGCTGCAAATTTTATGCTCTGCTTCCCTTTTAAAACTGAATGCCTTTAACAGCACCCAAGTCACCTCTTGAATACTTTGCTGCTTAGAAATTTCTTCCACCAGATACCCTAAATCACCTCTCTTAAGTTCAAAGTTCCACAAATATCTAAGGCAGGGCCAAAATGTCACCAGTCTCCTTGCTAAAACATAGCAATAGTCATGTTTGCTCCAGTTCCCAAGTTCCTCATCTCCATCTGAGACCACCTCAGCCTGGGCCTTATTGTTCATATGGCTTTCAGCATTTTGGGCAAAGCCATTTCACAAGTCTCTAGGAAGTTCAAAACTTTCCCACATTTTCCTGTCATCGTCTGAGCCCTCCAAACTGTTTCAACCTCAACCTGTTACCCAGTTCCGAAGTCAATTCCACATTTTTGGGTATCTTTTCAGCAGCACACCACTCTCTTGGTACCAATTTACTGTATTAGTCCATTTTCATGCTGCAGGTAAAGGCACACCTGAGACTGGGCAATTTACAAAAGAAAGAGTTTTATTGGACTTACAGTTCCACGTGGCTGGGGAGGCCTCACAATCATGGCGGAAGGTGAAATCATGTCTCACATGGCAGCAGACAAGAGAAGAGAGCTTGGGCAAGGAAACTCCACTTTTTAAAACCATCAGATCTCTTGAGACTCATTCGTTACTACAAGAACAGTGCAGGAAAGATATGGCCCCATAAATCAATCACCTCCTACCGGGTTCCTCCCACAACACATGGGAATTGTGGGACGTACAATTTAAGATGAGATTTGAGTGAGGACACAGCCAAACCTTATCAGGGGGAAAAAAAAATGGTTCTACAGTCTTACAATTATTCTCAGTCTTTCAGTGAGCTTCTGTCCCTCTGTCCCCAGCTTGTGACCATCACAAATGTCTCACCCTAAGTGAGCGTGAAAGGCTAGAGTGTGGAGTCAAATATTACCCTCCCTGCATATCAATTAGGTTCTGATAAAGTAGTTTCCTTTGAAAGAAGGTGAGAAGAAAACTCTGTAGGAATATTTCAAAATGGTTACTTTTAGTATCTCCCTGCTAGAAGCGTAAGAGGATTGTTTTCTGATCTTCACTTTGAGAATAAGTCCCCTGAGATTAGGTCCCAGGATTTTTTAACTCTCAAGCTACTTGACAGTCATTCTTTAGAAATTTGTCAGTTATGGTTTTTTTTTTTTTTTTTTCTAACGGTTTCTGGCTCCAGCATCTTTAGATCCTGGTAAACTATAATTTGTCTGTGTTTGCCTAGTTCTTCCATTTTCAGGAAATTATTTTGTCCTGTGACTTCAGTTCTCTGATGGATCTAATCAGTTGCTGATTTTCAGTGTGTTCAGTATTTTTCTTATTGTAGGATGACAGCAATCACTTCTTTACATGTTGGAGTAAAAGGTCAGAAATCTAGATTTTTAAATGACATAAAGAACAACTAGGCAGAAGGCTAAAAAGGAAATAGAAAACCTGAGCCCCCAGGTAAGTCCACTAGATATAACAGACAACTACAGAAAAATTCACCTAACAACAACAAAACACAGAATCTTCTCAATGTACACGGAACAACTGCCAGGGAAGACTACATGTGAGGCCACAAAGAGGCATCCATAAATGTAAAATAGTTAGAAATCATACAAAATATAGTATATGACCACAATGAAATAAAATTAAGAGTCAAAAGGAAAGTAAAATTTGGTAAATTACAAATATAAAGAATTTTTAAAAAATATTCTCCTAATCAATAAGTTAAAGAAAAACACAGTTAATTAGAAAATAGTTTCAGATGAATAAAAACAAAATCACATGTCAAACTTATAGGATGTAGATAAGAAGTGCATGGAGGGTAGTTGGTAGCTCTAAACGTCTCTAAAAGAGGGAAACTTCTCAATAAGATAAAGGATGTCTATGAAAATTTCAGTGCTAACATCATATCCAATGGAATAACACCGAATACTCTTCCTCTAAGATCTCAGTCAAAACAAGTCTTTCTGGACCCACTGTTTCTATTCAACATTTTACTGGGGATTGTAGGGCAATTAGGCAAGAAAAGAAAATGAATACATCCAGTATAGAAAGAAAGAAGTAAAATTATTTATACTCTCAGATAATATTATATTGTATATAAAAAATTCCAAGGAAACCACATGCATGCACACATATATGCACACACGCACACATATGCACACACAAAAGTATAATGATAAGTAATTACCAAGTTTTCAGTATGAAAGCCAACGTACAAAAGTCAATTGTATTTCTATGCATTAGCAATTCAAAACCTGGAAGTGAGATTTAAAAAGAAGTCTACTTATAATAACATCAAAGAGAATAAAAATTTATGAATAAATTTAGTAAAGGAGGTGCTGGATTTGTACACTAAAAAGTACAAAACATGGTTGAAAAAATTTTAAATGACCACAATCAGAAAGATGCTTTAGTATACATGAATTGAGACTTTATATTGTTGACTCTACATTACTCCTTCAATTGATCTATAAATTCATAGCAATACCCAGCAATGTTCTAGTTAAATATTTACAGAAATTGGTAAGTTGTTCTAGAATTCATACGAAGATGCAAGGGATTCAAAACAACCTTGAAAATGTAGAACAAATTTGGAAGATTATTTGTCAATTTCAAAATTGATTTTAAAGGTACAGTATTTGAAACAGTGTGGTAGTGGCATAAAGATGGACATACAAATCTGATTACCTATCAATAAGTCTTTAAATTTATAGGCAGTTGGTTTTCAACAAGGATGCCAAGACAATTCTGTGGGAAAGAATAGTATTTTCAACAAATTGTACCTGGATAACTGGATATCACATTCAAAAGAATGAAGTTAAATTTCCTTCTTCCTTAAACCATACATAAAAATTATTTCAGATTGAATCATAGGACTAAATGTAAGGGCTTGAAAACTTAAAATACATTAAGGAGATTCCTTAGAGACCTAAAAGTAGAACTACCATTTGATCTAGCAATCCCACTACTGGATATCTACCCGGAGGAAAAGAAGTCATTACATGAAAAAGGTACTCTCACACGTATGTTTATAGCAGCACAATTCACGATTGCAAAAACATGGAACCAACCCAAATGTCCATCAATCAATGAGTGGATAAAGAAACTGTGATATACATATATACATATATGTATTAATATGTATACACATATATGTATATATGCATATATGTTTTTCATGTATATACATATATACATATGTATATATGATGGAATATTACTCAGCCATAAAAAGGAATGAGTTAATGGCATTTGTAGCGACCTGGATGAGATTGGAGACTATTATTCTAAGTGAAGTAACTCAGGAATGGAAAGCCAAACATCGTGTGTACTCACTCATAAGTGAGAGCTAAGCTATGAGGATGCAAAGGCATAAGAATGACACAGTGTACTTCAGGCACTCAGGGGTAAGGGTGGGAAGGGGGCAGGGATAAGAGACTACAAATAGGGTGCACTGTATACTGCTCAGGTGATGGGTGCACCAAAATCTCACAAACCACCACTAAAGAACTGACTCATGTAACCAAACACCACCTGTTCCCTGGTAACTTATGGAAATTAAAAAAAATACGTTAAGGAAATTATGAGGGTAAATCTTTGTGATCTTGCATTGGCGATGATTTTTAGATCTGACACCAAAATCACAAGCAACAAAAGAAAATATAAATTAAACTTCACCAAAATTTAAATCTTCTGTTCTTCAAAAGACAGCATTAAGAAAATGAATAGACAAATCCAATGCAAATCGAAATCGAAATCACAATGAGATACCACTTGGAGCCCACTAAGAAGGCTACAATTAAAAAGATAATAAAAGTTTTGGTGAGGAGTGGGAGAAATTGGAACCCCTATACATTGCCGGAATGTAAGATAGTGCAGCTATTTTGAAAAACAATTTGGTAATTCCTCAAAATGTTAAACGGACTTACCCTGTGACCCAGGAATTTTGTGTGTGTGTATATTTTATATATATGTGTGCATACCATATATATGTATATGCATATATGCATATAATATGTGCATCTATATATTTCATGTCTATATAAAATAAAAATGTCCCCACAAATGTTCATAGCAGCATTATTCATAATAGCCAAAATATGCAAACAATCCAGTATCTAAGAGCTGATGATGGATTAAAATGTGGCATATGATTAGAAGACTGACACTACCTAACTTCACGACTTACAATAAAGCTGCAGTGATCAAGACAGTGTGGCATTGGTAAAGGGGTCAACAAATCCATCAGCGGAACAGAGTAGAGATCCCAGAAATAGACCCATACAGTCTAGTATCTATTGACTAATAGATATTTGACAAAGGAGTAATGACATTTCAAGAGAAAAAGACCAGACTTTTCAATAAGTAATGTTGGAACAATTGGACATCCACACTCAAAAAAATGAATCTAAGTACAGACTTTCTACCTTTCACAAAAGTCAACTCAAAATAAATCAGAAACCCAAATATAAAATAAGAAGCTATTCAACTCCTAGAATATAACAAAGAAGAAAATATAGATGACCTTGAATTTGGTGATGACTTTTTAGATATAGTAACAAAAGCATGATCCATATTAAAAATGCAGTAAGTTGGACTTCATTAGTAATATAACTTCTGATCTGTGAAAGGCACTTTTAAGATAGTGAAAAGATAAACCACGGATTAGAAGAAAATATTTTCAAAATGCATATCTGATAAAGGAATAATATTCAAAATAAATAAAGAACTCTTAAAACTTAATGGTAAGCCAAAAAAAAAAAAAAAAAAAAAACCCACACAATGATAAGAAAGCAAACAACAAAATTGAAAAACGGGCAAAAGATCTGAACTCAGTTTACCAAAGAAGATAGATAGATGTCAAATAAGCATATGAAAAGATGCTCAACATTATATATAATTAGAGAATTAATTGCAAATGAAAATGAGGTGCAACTACACACCTATTAGATCACTAAAAGCCAAGGCAGGGACACCACCAAATGCTGGTGAAGATATAGAACAACAGGAGCTCTCATTCATTGTTGGTGGGAAATTCATACTAGTATAGCCACTTTAAACATTAATTTGGCAGTATTTTACAAAATAAACATACTCAGTCCATATGATCTAGCAATCTTCCTCTTGGTATTTACCCAAATGTGTTGAAAATTTATGTGGACATAAAAATTTGCATATGAATGTGTATAGCAGCTTTACTGATAAGTAGTAAAATCTGGAAGCAACCAAGATGTCCTTTAGTAGGTGAATTTATGAACACCTTGGTACATCTGTACGATGGAATACTATTCAACAATAAAAAGCAATGAGCCATCAAGCCACAAAAAAAAAAAAAACACAGAGTAATCAGACATGTATATTGGTAAGAGACAGGGGCCAATCTGAAAAGGTACACTCTGTATTAGTCCAACTGTATGTACTTCTGGAACAGCCAAAACTATAGGACAGTAAAAAGATAAGTGGTTGCCATGGACATGGATGGAGGAGGGAGAAATACATAGTTAGGTCATAGGGGATTTTTAAGATAGAGGAACTATTTTGTATGATACTGTAACACCAGATAGATACATTTTTTCAAAACACATAGATTATACAACACAAAGAAAAAATTAATGTAACCTATGGACTTTAGTTAATAATAATGTCAATACTGGTACTGTCAACAAGGTCAATATTGGCTCATCAAATGTAACAAATATATCACACTAATGCAAGATATTAATAATTGGAGAAACTGTGGAGGGAGGGGAGGGGTGCATGTGGGAACTCTGCACTTTATGCTCAAATTTTCTGTAAACCTAAAGTTACTCAAAAATAAAGTCAATTAATTATTTAAAAAGGAAAAAATGTGCTATCTTTATTCTATGGAGTGTTATTCAGCTACAAAATGAAACAGCATACTGATGGATGCTGCAACATGGATGAACGTTGAAACATGCTCAATGAAAAAAGCCAGTGACAAAAGACATTATATGATTCCATTTATTATATTAATGTCCAGAATGGACAAACCAATAGATACAGAGTGTAGATTACTGGTTTTCAGTCTCTAAAATAGGGAGAAATAGAGAGAGACTGCTAATAGATTTATTTGGGGGATGATAAAATGTTATAAAAATGTTTGGAATAACAATTGAAAATTCTGTGAATATACTAAAAACATTAAATTGTACATTTAAAAAGGGTAATGATATCTAAATTTTATCTTAATATAATTAATACAATTGTTAAAAAAAATCCCCCAAACAATATTGACCTAACACAGTACAATTTAATAACTGGAACTTCAGTGTAATTTTATTGAAAGTTAACTAATTCAAGAAAAAAAAAGGATTTTGTGCTTAGATGACTAATCTTTTAAAGATACAGCAGCACCAATCACTAAAAACACATTCAATTTAGAAAATATTGTAGTTTTCATTGGTGAATTAATTTGTTAACTGTATTCAAAATAAATTGCTAACGTGTCATTGAAGATTTACAAAATATTAACAAACTACAAATCATATTATCATGTAAGACTTGGGAAATGTTCATTTATATTAATAATATGGATTCAAATCTTTATATGAAACAAAATGCATCTATATTTGATTATGGTGGTATAGTTTCTCATTCGAATGGGATCTGAGATGGGAGAAACCATATTCTACAACAGTGCTGTCCAAAAGAATTTTCTGAGATGACGGAAGTGTTCTGTTTCTGCATTGTCTAAATTGGCAGGCACTGCCTGCATGTAGGTACTAAGCCTTTGAATGTGGTTACTGCAACTGAGGAACTTTATTTTTATTTAATTGCACTGATGTAAATTAAAATATATATTTAAATACCAGCTAGGGGTGCTAGTACTGAAATCAGCTGAGAAATGGGAGGAGAAATTCAGTGGCTTCTTTTTTTCTGCTTCCTCAATTGCTCCCCCTCTTCCTACCCTCCTTACCGTGATTAAATAGTATCAGTCATAAAACAAGTGCTAAATGAATAGGCTAAAAAACAAGTGATGATCTTTTTCTAAATCTGCTTACACATGTATTTGCTGTATTAGTAAAATAATGAGTTTTGATTTTAAATTCCTTCATTTCTAATGCATGCTAATCAAAATTTAGATAAGTGTGATATAAAGGTAGCACTTACTATCAGCATTAGCAAGTATCAGAAACATTTAGAAATTCAAATGTTTTTCTAGGAAAATGGTAGAAGTTAATCAACCAATCTCTTCAAGTAATGCTCTCATGTCAATGTATTAATTAAATCAAACATGAATTATTCCCTTTCTTATATATAAACATTCTATCTATAATATAAATTAGTTAACAGTGGCACAGAATTAATAACATTCAAGAAATTCAGTATTTTGTTAAGATCTAAGTTATACTGTTTCCCTATTGATATAGATTGTAGGTTGTTTTTATTTGGATTTGCTTTGTTTTTATTCCCCTGAGTATACAATGACATTCGCTATCTGATGTCAGCTTGAGACTTCTCAGGGTTGTCTGTGTTTATATAGTTTATAAGATTGCTGTTGCCTTTCATGCATGTGTTAGGACAATTGTTTCCTTTCTGCCAAACCTAATCAAGGAATTGTTTTGTCTATCTTCTCTCTTTCTCCAAACCACAGCCCACTCAAGAACAGTTTAGCCCCTGAAGTGGGCATAATATTATTCTTGTTCATAAACACAGTTATTTTAAATCACGATTGAGAGCTGTGTGTCTTATATTACCATCATACTTTCATCTGTGGGAAAACCCTTTTCTCTATTACAAAGACTAATACCTTTCGATATAAGAGATGACAGCAACCCAACTCTGAAATAAAATCACTTGTAACAAGTTGCCTTTGGCTAATTGAGGTCAGCTGCACTGCATGTTAAATTCTACTTTATAGACAGAGAGAGGGGAAGGGAGAAGGAGACAGCGGGGGTGGAGGGCACGGAGAGAGGGAGAAGGAGGAGAGTTAGGAGGAAAGTGAGAGGGGAGAGCGAGAGAGCCTGAGAAAATTCTGCTTGACACAATTCCTTGTGCAGCATTGTGTATCTCAGGGATGAGAGGAAGATTCAAACTGCACCTACCATTGAGAGCTTCTGATTTGACTTGGATACGGAGGGAGGATAGAATCTTGTAAAATTGTAACAGTGTCATGCTAGTATTATTTGTCACTACCTTGAATTCATTAACTCTTTCCCATGCACCGTTCCAGGTATTAGGAGTGAGAAAAATGAGATGGCCGCTTTAAAATTTACATTCTAGAAGATGAGTTAGAAAATAGGTGCAAGATCTAAGTTTATTACTGTATCACCTTGCTTCCATGAAGCAATTTCCTTACCCATTACGTTTTGCTATGTAGCAAACCATACTCAAAGTTGGTAGCTTAAAACAACAAACATTTTTAGCTCACAATTATGGGGGTCCATTGGGCAGTTCCTCTGGTTGAACTCAGCTGGGCTCATTATGAGTCTGCAGTCAGCTGGCAGTAGCTGACGGATTGGCTGGCAGTTGGATAACCTAGGATGAACTCATTCCCAAGTCTGGCATTTGGCAGGTTGTCAGATGTGGCAAAGATATGGGCCTGTAAGCTTCAGCTTCCTCACACACTGCAGGAATGCAAAAGCAGCAATAGCCAAAGCTGCAAAATATCATGAATCCTGGGTTCAGAACCAGAACAAGGTCACTTTTGCCATAGGCAAGTCAAAATGCCACAGCACAGTAAAAAGTGTGGAAGATTTAAACCCCTTGTTTTAATAAGGGGTACTGCAAAGTATTGTGGCAATTTTTGACACACAACTGCAGTCTCCATTGCAAATCTTTTAGCATTCTGCAACCATTATTTTCCACTAATTGTTATTTCTGTTCATTCTCAAGAGGTGATAATATTTTTAAATTAAGAAAAAATGAACACAGTAAATTATGTTTCTGTCGAGCAATATGTGCATAAGAGATTAAGCGAACAGGCAAATGCCCAAATGGCACACAATTATTTCATGGCAGATTAAGAAAGCTTCAGCAGGTGCTATTTTTAAAACCAAGATGCTCTTCTGTAGTGACAGATGCTGCTGCTCTGGGGATGTCTTTCAATAACAGAATACTTTCACCAGAAAAAGAATTTAAACTGGTATGATTGTGTCCCCAGAACAAAGGTACTCTAGGCACTAGAAAGCCCTAAAGATACTGCAGTTATTGATCTTGGTTTGCTCTTTCAACGCATCCACAAAGAAGAGAATGTACACGTGTCACAATTCATAACATTTGCAAGGCACTTTGGTGCAACAGTTCAGAAGCATTTAATAATTTAAGTTTCATTGATTATGACATTGCTTCCACGGTATATTCCCCACCAAAACCCCATAATCAGCTACTATTCAGGAATAAAATTTTTTTCAATTAGCCTCTAGGAAAGAGGGGTTTCCACCACAGGTCTGGGAAATCTGCAAATTTTAAAATGCAATGTAACTAAAACATACATAATGTAACAGGAGTGCAGTCTGAGTGAAATGATCTGAAAAGAGAGTATAAAGAGTAGAAAAATCGAGTGCTCAAACATAGCAGAATCCTAAAAGATCCTAGTTACAATAGTCATGTAGCTTTCTACAGCATAGAGACCATCCCCTACTTGATACCTGCATCCCTGTTATGAGGTCCATATTGTGAAAGCACTTAGGGGGGAAAAATAATTGTAATAATGGACAGCTCACTAGTTTTGTGTTTGTAAAGTTTTTAAATTATCTACTTATGCATTTATATAACTTTTTAAAGTCCACAATTTAACATTCTCTCTGCTAGCAAGAAAAACAATGTCTGGAGGTATTTTGAGTTGTCACAAGTGTGGAGGAGAGATGCTACTGGCATCCACTTGGGAGAAACCAAGGATGCTGCTGAACATCGTACAGTGCACAGCACAGCCTCCCACAACAAACAATGATCAATTCCAAAATTTCAATAGTGCTATAGTTAAGAAACACTGAATTACATTAGAAAGCATGTGAAATAGACTCTACTTTGAGAACAAATGTATAATGTGGCTATACACAACCAAAAGTCCCAGTGTGTAATTTGTTATTATTAACTTAACAGGTGTGATGGTTAATACCGCGTGTCAATTTGATTGGACTGAAGGATGCAAAGTATTAATCCTGGGTGTGTCTGTGAGAGCGTTGCCAAAGGAGATTAACATTTGAGTCAGTGGGCTGGGAAAGGTAGACCCACCCTTAATCTAGGTGGGCAAAATCTAATCAGCTGCCAGCTAAGTTAGGATAAAAGGCAGAAGAATGTGAAAACACTAGACTGGCTTAGTCTCCCAGCCTACGTCTCCCATGCTGGATGTTTCCTGCCTTCAAACATTGGACTTCAAGTTCTTCAGCTTTGGGACTTGGACTGGCTTCCTTGCTCCCCAGCTTGCAGACAGCCTATTGTGGGACCTTGTAATTGTGTAAGTTTAATACTCCTTAATAAACTCCCATATATATATGGGAGATATGTATATATATCTCCTATTAGTGCTGTGCCTCTAGAGAAGCCTGACTAATACCAGGATATGGCTTCACTAGTGAATTCTACCAAATATCTAAAATAGAATTAACATCAGTTCTTCTCCAACTCTTCCAAAAAATTGAAAGAGGAAGGAACACTTCCAAACTCATTTTTTGAGGCTGACATAAACCTGATACCAAAGTCAGACAGTGACACTAGAATAAAATTACAGGCCAATAACCCTGAAGAATATATGTGTAAAAATATTGAACAAAATGCTAGCAAACTCTGTCAGAGTAAGGGTTTAGAGAGAAGGACTCATAGAAGATCACTTAGTTCTAAAAGTTCTTTTGGGAAAGTAACTTTCTTCATTTAACTTTTATTTTAAATTATTTTAGATAAGTTAAATAACAGAGAGTTACAGATAGTAAGTTCCTCTACATCTTTTACCCAGCTTACTGTTAACATCTTATGTAACCATAGTGCATGTATCAAAACCAAGAATTTAACATTGATACCAAGCTAAAACTATAAATTATTTGGATTTCAACAGTTTTGCCACTAACGGCCTTTTTCTATTCTAAAATTCAATCTAGGATTCCACATTGCATTGAATTATCACGACCACATGAACTTTCTCAATCCGGGATGATTTCTAAGTTTTTCCTTGTCTTTTAGGATCTTGACACTTTTTAAGAGTACTAAGAGTTTCCTGGAGTGTCTTTCAATGTAGATATCTGAAGATATCTCATGATTAGATTGGGGTGATGTATACTTTTAGAAAAGATCACATAGGGCCGGGTGCGGTGGCTCATGCCTGTAATCCCAGCTCTTTGGGAGGCTGAGGAGGGCGGAACAAAATGTCAGGAGTTGGAGACCAGCCTGCCCAATATGGTGAAACCCCGTCTCTACTGAAAATACAAAAATTAGCCAGGTGTGGTGGTGGGCCCCTGTAGTCCCAGCTACTTGGGAGACTGAGGCAGGAGAATCACATGAACCTAGGAGGTGGAGCTGGCAGTGAGCTGAGATCGCGCCATTACACTCCAGCCTGGGTGACAGAGCAAGACTCCAACTCAATTAAAAAAAAAAAAATGATCACAGAAGAGAAGTCTCAATGAACCCTTCTCATTGCATCAAATCAGTGCATTATACACACATACGTATGACATGTCCTCAGCTTGCAGACAGTCTATAGTGGGACCGTGTAATTGTGTGTGTGTTTTGTTATTATAGTGTTCCAACTTTGGTCATTTGAAATCCTTTCCATTTGGCCTCTGCCCAATTTCTCCTTAGTTTCTTTAAGTAATATTTTCCCTTCCTGTATTATATTGAATAGAAATGAGTCACTTAATCTGACCAATACTCAAGGGAAAAGGAATTAAGCTTCACTTTCTGGAGAGAAAAATATCAAATAATTTGTAAATAGGTTAAAGCCACCAAAGAAACCAATATTTTGTCAGAGATATATCCAAGCTATGCAAATAATCTATATCTGAAAATATGCCCATTAATTTTACCATTTCTCAGTGGATCTTGCCTGAAGTAGTTATTACTGAGGCATTTCAATGGAGATTTTATTTTTTCTACAAATTATTTGGAATTCTTATAAAAGAAAAATATTCTTTGTCCACCATTTATGTATTTATTCAATCATTTGTTTATACAAATTTTGATGCATACGTATTTATTTCATGTGTTGTAATCAACTATTATTATTCATTTTATTGTTTATATGATGGAGCTTTATCATTCTGACATACCTCTATCCTTTCTTTTACCTAAAGCATCCATTTACTTTTTTGGTCCCACAAGATATTGCAGGCTTATTGTGTTTTCCCTCCTCCAGCTCTAGAATGAGCCATTTCTCCAAGGATCTCTGATCCCTTTTATTGAAGAATGATATTTAGAAATCAAGATCTGGATTCTAGTTATGTTCATTGCTACTGTGGTGTCATTACTTCTAGGTCCTGTCAAAGAAGAGAAATAGGAAATACGCTGGCTTATACTAACCCACACATATCAAGGCTTCTGTTTTTTTGGTAACATCACTTTGTGGAGGTATGACTGACTTGTAAAAAGCTATGCATATCTAATGCTTACATTAGATTAATTTAGAGATAAATATGCACCATGAAATCATCACCACTATCAAGGCCATAGACATCTCCATCAATTTAAAAAGTTTCCTTCTGCTTGTATAATCATCATAATTAACACTATTGATTAAAAACCCTTTACATAACATCTACTGTCTTAGCAAGTTTTAAGTATACAATACAGTAGTGCTAGCTATAGGTACTATGTTGCATAGTAGAGCTCAAAAACTTATTTTATGTGTCAGATAAACTCTACAGTTCTACTATTTCCACTTTTCCAGTTCCATTTATACATTGAGATACCATATTTATTTTTGCATAATAAACATATTTTCTTTGTCTCTCTTGTATATGTCCTTAGATGTTTTTATTATATGTGCTCGAAAATCTTTTTCTGCAAATGCCAACACCTAGGATATCTTAAGATCAGTTTGTATTGACTTTTCTTCCCCTTTAGGCTTTGAGTCACATTTTTCTGTTCCCTGCATGTTTAGTAATTCTTTTATTGCATATCAAATACTGTGTATTCTATACACTAGTGATTCTGGATGTCTCAATTGTCTTCCTCTAAAGAATGTTAAATTGTCTTATGGTAGGCAGCTGACTTGTCTAGTTTTGAACTGCAAACTCTACTGCTCCTGTAGTAGGAAACTGCTAAAACTTCTGCTTAATTCCCTCATCCTGTGTTCTTATAGCATCCCACCTGACCCCTTGGAATTTCTTCCTTGTAAAAACATCTCAATGTCAGACATGGAGACAGGCTGAGTTTATAAATAAATTTGCAGGCTTCTTCCTCAAAGTCTTTCTGTTTTCTGGGACTTTATTTAATTTTTAGTATATCTGTTGGCCCCAGACTCAGTCCTCTAATGTCTCAACCCAGTAGGACTCTTGTTTTGTGTTCTAATCACTCTATGCCCTGAGCCAGAGAGGATACCCAAGGTAAACTGTTGTGTCAATCTGAATAATCTCCATTATAATTTCTTTAAGGTTCAACTTCTTTCCAGATTTTGCTAACTTTTTCTTGCCTGCTCATGCCTTCAAATAGATTTTAAAAACATATTTATCATTGTGTACATTTATTGTTTATGGAAGGGTTATGCTAATAAAATCAACACCTTTATTACAAGAATTAGAACTCCCTTTAGTAGACTTTTGCTTATAAAATCATGTTCTCAAAATAAAGAAAAAAATGAATTTTTTCTAATCTTGGGTCACATCAGTTGTGTTTTGTACATTATTATTTATTCTTTAAAATATATCACTGTAGATTTTGCATTTTCCAGGGCTATTTGGAGGTGCTTAAGTCAAAATTTACTGCTTCTCTCTATTATGATGTCTTATTATTTTTTAACATATAAAACAGAAAAATAGCCAGCCGTAAGAGATGACTTTTAATATAAATAACAATTCTTACAATGCCAAAATATCTTTTACAAAAGGTGGTTATAAGGTATCATTCTTAGATTAGGCATTTCATTATCTAAAGAGAGTATGCATCTGATTGATGAACACACTGAGACAGATTCATTTACACCGTTAACTCATTTATCCTCTTTAAAAAGTATAATTTTCAGAGAGTATTATACTATATTGGTAATAATAATTACAGCTGTATTGTCAAGTTCCTGTATACCTGGTCTTATTTTTAGGACTAGACATACATTATTTCGTTTAATTTCTATAACTTAAGGTGTGTATTGAATCTGTCTTTCATAAATTACCATACTTTTGACAGGAAAATGAAATTTTTCCAATGTCTCCAATAAAGGGAGAAGTAGAACCAGGAGTTCAGAGAGGAGCAAGGAGATTAGAGGTGGAAAAATGCCACAGAGAAGACCTATGGAAATTTACAACATATAGAAATACTCAAGAAATTATATTGCTTTTACTGAATAGTGACATTAGCAAGATGGTAGAATAAGACCATTTTAGCCCCAAAGAAACAGATATTCACAAACACCGATGGGCAGGAATACCCCTTTAGGAACCCAGGAGTCCAGAAGATAGCACTCTATTTTAGCAAAAACTTGAACAAGAGACACTTTTTTTTTTTTTTTAAAGACAGGGTCTCACTTTGTCACCTAGGCTGGAGTGCAGTGGCACGATCTCGGCTCACTGTAACCTTGACCTCCTGGGCTCAAGTGATCCTCCCACCTCAGCCCCCTGCAAGTGGCTGGGACTACAGGCATGCAGCACCTTGCCTGGCTAATTTTTGTATTTTTTTGTAGAGACAGGCTTTCGCCATGTTCCCAGGCTGGTTTTGAACTCCTGAGCTCAAACAATCTGCCCACCTCAGCCTCCCAAAGTACCTGGATTATAGGCATGAGCCACTACATGTGGCCACAATACACTTTGAGGAGAAATAAGAATGTCACCGAGGGGTGTAGGAGTTCTTGGTTCTTGTCTTGTGAGAAAGAATTTGGCCAAGAGACAATTAGTAAAGTAAACAAAGGTTTATCGAAGGAAAATAAAGAGCGGAGAGTTTATTGAAGGATAGACGATCCCAGAGAGGAGTGGGCTGACCCGACTGGGAGCAGAAACACTAGCAGAAAGGCTTTAGTGGTAGCAGAGTTCATTTAAAGAGGGAGAGTAGTTTGCTTGAAAGAGAATGGGCTGGCAGCCCCAAGTTCAACATTGTGGTTTTTATTATATTGGACTCTTTCTTTAAGCTCCTGCTTCTGTCGTAAGTCTTTGTTTTGTCTTTGTCTAGTTTCATTCTTCAGCCTTTAGTCCCCACCTTTTCCCCATCTAGTTACTGCCCCAGATTTGTGGGATTCTCCCTTACTATCAGCTGATGCCCGTGTGCAGGCCTGATGTTGGATACAAGTCCAGCCTAATGGTGGCATTGCTCATTACTGCCATCCCAGGAAGGTCATATAGCCATTCATTCTGTACTTATTGCACCTGCGTATCTCTTAGGAATTTCTTCTTTGCCCTCTTTCTCTCCTTATCAGCATGTAGCTAGCTGCATTCTGATAGGTTAACTGCAGAGAGAGCAATTACTGGGCATCTTAAGGAGCATTTTGGGGGTGAGTTTTTCTGCATAGATATGTCCCTTCCTCTCTGCTCATATCTAGCATGAATATTTCTGATACTGTCTGGGGTGTGACATTTTCCAGACCTCCTCTTTTTAGGGGCTTCTCTTCCTACTCATATCTAGCTGTCTGCCTACTCTAACAAGAATAGTTTCAGTTTACTTGCATCATCCCTCTCACAAGACAGCACAGCTCAATGTCATGAGATAAACCAAGTGAACAAACTTCTAGCTAGACTAAGATAAAAGAGAAAAGACTCAAATAATAAAATTATAAATGAAGAAGAGATTTTTTGGATATAACACCAAAAGCAAAGGAATCAAGAACAAAAAGAAATAAATGAGACCACAAGAAACTAAAATGATTTTGTGTAATAAATAATCAACATGAGAGAAAATCAACTTTAAAGAATGAGAGGAAATATTTGCAAACCACATATGTGATAGAGTTAATATTCAAATGATCTAAGGAATTCATATGACTCAATAGCAAACAAAAAACCAAATAACTCAATTTAAAAATGGCCTAACCTCAATAGACACTTCTCAAAAGAAGACATAAAAAGGACAAACAGGTATATGAAAAGGTGTTCAAAATCACTAATCATCAGGGAAATGCAAATCAAAACCACAATGAGACATCACCTTACACCTCTGAAAATGGATTTTATCAGAGACAAAAGCGGTAAGTGTTGGTGAAGATGTGTATAAAAATGATGCCTTGTATGATGTTAGGAGTAATGTCAACTGGTTCAGCCATTATGGAAAAAATATGAAGATTCCTCAAAAATTAAAAATAGAACTTTCATATGAATCAGCAATCTCACTTCGGAATGTTTATCCAAAGGAACTGAAATCAGGGTCTTGAAGAGACAATCACAGTCATATTCATTGCGATATTCACATTAGCAATATGGAAACACCGAAGTGTTCACTGGATAGATGAATTGATAAACAAAGTATGGTATAAATTCTAGCACTTTGGGAGGCTGAGGTGCAAGGATCACTTGAGCCCAGAGGTTGAGGCTGCAGTGAGCCATGATTCCTGCATTCTAGGTGACAGAGCAAGACAATGTGCTTAAAAAAGAAAAGAAAAGAAAACTCCAGAAGAAAATAACATGTGATATATGCATATAAGGAAATATCATTTTATTTTATTTTTTATTTTATTTTTGTGTTGTTGCCATTTGCAACAACAAAAGAGATAACAAAATGTTGCCATTTGCAACAACACAAAAGGACCTGGAGATCATTATGCTAAATGAAATAAGCCATACACAGAAAGACAAATGCTGTATTATCTAACTTATGTTACAGTCTCACCAATGCACCACAATGTAGCAGTCTCTCATTGCCTGAGGTATCACCCCGAGTCCTTTGTCTCATGACCAAGAAGGTTAAGGAGCATAAACACCAAGGGTGAGGTTGGAGCAAAAGTTTAACAAGCGAAAGAACAAAGCTCTTTGCTGTGGAGAGGGGGCCCAGAAGGCTTTCACAAGATGAATGCAAACGCTTTTTTTATAGTTGAATGCGAAGGCTTTCACAAGAAACCAATGAGGGGCTGGGCATCTTATTTGCATAAGATGTGAATTTCTGGTAGCTCCACCCCATCCTCCTAGTGCGCATGAATGCCTGTAGCTTGAGTTACTCCATATTGCTTTGTTCCCCTTACTGCACATGTGTCAGACAGAATTTTCCATTGTGAGCATGTCTGGGCAAGTCACCTGTGTGGCCCTTCTTATCTTGCAGCTGTGGGCATGTCTTAGGCAACACCTCCTGTGCAAGTTCCCTTATCTGTCCCTGCAGGGTGTTCTTTTGCTTGAAATAATTCAAACAAGGACACACCCTAACTGCCTGCCTAACTGGTTTCTTCCTTTCTCCTCTCTGTCTTATACCTAGTATATAAAACAGTCAGACTCATAGAAGCAGAGAGTAGAATGACGGGGGATGGCGGAAAGGAATATGGGGAGATTTTGGTCAAGGGGTACAAAGTTAATACAAGATGAATATGTTCTGCTGATCTAAAGTTTAGTATGTTAACTATAGGTAGCATGTGAGACTTGATTGTAAGTGTTCTCATCACAAACACGAGAAAAAAGTTAACTGTATGAAATGATGGATGTCAAAAGTAAAGTAGAGGTTCCTCTTCAAAAACTTTCCTCCCCATCTAATTAGGAATAAATAGTAACATCTCTTAGAAACAAAATTTATTCAAAGACCTGTGCTAACATTCTTAAATATCTACTAGCCATAATAAAGAAATCAATGTACTTTATGTTCTTAGCTCCCACAATTTAGCCTAAATATTTGCCTTGGCATGCTTATACTGTTCTAAGCAAGCATTTGGTCATAGCCTGTTCCTCTTCCTTATTTGAAGATGTTTCATTGCCTTTCTCAGCATTCCACAAGTTACTTCCTCCTTCCTTTGCTCTCCTCTGCCTTTGTCTCTTTTAAAAAGTTCTAAGTTGCTAGCCAATTGGGACAAATACAGAATGTGGGGTCCTATTCCAGCCAATGGAAACTGGACACACCAGTAGGATGATGTGTCAAGTTATAGATTACCCTGTCTCCTTTGTTCAGTGTACTCTCATGGCAAAACTGCTGGTGAGTGTACCCTTTCTGCAGAAAGTATAAAAATGGCCTTGCTGAGGAAATTAAATTTATGTTCAAGTGCTATTTCTTTATGGCACCAGAGAACAAGCATTTCAAACATGGACATGTTAATTATCTTGTTTGTGGTGATTTTTTCACAATGTGTATGTACATCAAATCATTAGGCTGTATACCTTAAATATATACAATGAAAAACAAATTAAAGCTTTACCAGATTTCACAAGACAAATGACAGCTAGTTCCTCATTTTAAATCAATGTAATAATGAACAGTCCAGATTCATGATTAAGATCTAAATGTTATTTATAGAACAAGCAATGAGCCCTGTGATTCTGTAATTAATAATTTTTTACATATACATACATATGATACCACCTTTCCAAAAGTTATATCAGTGAGAAAATTTTAACAGTAAGCTAAGCTAACCCAACCCCCATCTTGCCCTTCCTTTAATTATTCCTGGGCTATTGGGCCAGGCTAACTTTGTAAGACATTTAGGCTACAGTTTAAATGATAATAGGTCTTGCCCAAAACTCAACCACTTTTGTAAAGCTAATGGGAGGCCAGTAGGCTGGGGGAAGGAGGTGAACCTGAGTCCTGCTAAAGCACAGACATAAATGATGGTCAGTCATTTACTCCTGAGGTTCTGCGATATACAACTTCCCCAATTACTCCTTCAAATAACATCACTATTGTATATGGGCCTTTTGAGATATCTTTCCAGGTTTTTGCAAGTTTGACACCCATGGCTCCACCTTGACTGCCAGTCCAGCTCCAGTGGCCCCAGCCAGAAGCAATTCAGCCCTCAGGAGAGCTCTGACCACCCCCCACCATGAGTTCATCTCCACCCCAACCAATTAGCAGCAAGCACCTGTTACCTGACTACCTCCACCCCTTCCCCTAAACTGCCATTGAAAAACCCCTAACCTATGAGCTTTCAATTAGATTATTTGAGTATGAACTCCATCTTCCATGTGGTTTGGCTGGCCTAGTGCTTATTAAACTCTTTCTCTATAACAATGCCATGGTCTTTCTTTATGCAGTGGGCAGGAAGAATCCCATGGTTGGCTGTGTGTATGTGTATATATATATTTGTATTTTGTTCCCATTTTCTGGCATGTAACTACTAAAACCCTTGTTATCCAAAGGGATAAGTGTCTTTTTGTATGCTAATGAGATGACTGAAGGCTGGGGCTTCTGGATAGCCTTGAATTGGAGTCTGGTTGCCAGAGAAACCAATCATATAATTAGAGGGCTGGAAGTTTCAGTCGTAATCCTGACCTCCATGGAAAGGAGAGGGGCTGAAGGTTGAGCTCCTCACCAATGGCCAATGATTTAATCTATTATGCTTATGTTGACAAAAAAGAAGCCAAATTCTGCAAAATATTTTAAGAGGTTTATTGTGAGCCAAATATGAGTGATTATGGTCCATCTTACAGACTGAAGAGTTCCTGAGAATATGTGCCCAAGATGGTTGGGTTGTAGCTTGGTTTTATACATCTTAGGAAGACAGAAGTCACAGGTTAAGACACAAAAGGGATACACTGGTTCGGCCTTGAAAAGTGAGATAACTTGAAGTGCAGAGAATCAAAGATCTTTTGATTGGCAATTGGTTGAAAGAGTTAAGCTTTGCCTTAACCTGAGAAGTTGAAATCAGCATTAAAAAAATTATGTGTTAAGATAAGGGGTGTTGGGCAAGCCAAGATTCTTTTTATGTAAATGAAGCTCCCAGGTAGCAGGCTTCAGAGGAAATAGATGGTAAAAGTCTCTTACAGGACTTTAAAAAGTGTCAGACTTAGCTAAATCTCTCCTGGATCAGGTAATGACCTGGAAAGGAAGGGGATTCTCTACAAAATGCAAACTTCCCCCATAAGAGATGGCTTTGCAGGGTCATTTCAAAATATGTCAAAGAAATACATTTTGGGGTAAAATACTTTGATTTCCTTCAGGGCCTGCTGTCACGTGATGCTAAACCATGGTCAGGTTGGAATTAGGTATCTTATTGCTACAAAGAGTCGATTGTCAGTCTTAAAATCGCTGATCTCTATTTTAATGTTAATGCTGGTCAGTTGTGCCTAAACTCCAAGGGGAGGAGGGTGTGATGAAGCATGTTCCACCTCTCTTATTGTCATCCCTGAAATAGTTTTTCAGGTTTCTTAGGCATCCCCTTGGCCAAGGTGGGGGGGTGGCGTCTATTCAGTCAATAGTGAGGCTTAGAATTTTATTTTTAGTTCATATCTACTTAATGAATCCTTCATAAAACCCCAAAAGGGACAGGTCCATAGAGCTTCTGGATAGCTGAACACATGGAGGTATCTAGAGGGTGGCATTCCCAAGGAGGCCAAATAAGCCCCACACCCTTTCTCCCATACCTTGCCCTACACATCTCTTCCATCTGTCTGTCCATCTGTATCTTCTCTAACAGTCTTTTTAAGAAATGAGTAACAATAAATAAAATGTTTCCCTGAACTCAAGCAAATTAATCAAACCCAAAGAGAGGGTCATGGGAACCTTGACTTACAGCTGGTCAGTTAGAGGTATAGGTCACAACCTGGGACTTTTCGTTGGCATCCGATGTGGGGGCAGTCTTGTAACACTAAACCCTCAACCTGTGGGATCTTCAGAGCTCTCTGTTGACAAGCTCAGGAAATGTGCCCACAACTCAATCTGAGTCACTGCTATCACATGTTGGAAAATCAGCATGGATTCTGTCAAAAACTCAGGCTTGCACTTCTTATGTGCGGACATGCACTCATTACTTTATTAATTCATTTAAACATCTATGTTTTATAATAGCCAGAACATTTAAGCTATATAGCTTATGATGGCACACTATTTATTTTACATTTATTGGTTAAACAATTATTCTAGACTAACAATTTTTGAAAAGGTTTATTTTACTTAAGAAATTCTAAGTGATATCTAAATATCTGATCATTATAGGATATTTCAAGACAATCCATGTGTTACAGTATATTTGTCTATGAGGTATAAGCTCTTTTAAAACTTAGTTCTCTCTCAATTATCTCAGATTTTAAAATAAATGATTTTTCTTTTCAAAGAAACTCATGCTTCGGATTTATTCCAAAAATATTTTAAGCTTCAATCTCTCTCCCTCTCTCTCTCTTCCCCCACTTGTCTTTCCTTAAATAAGAAAGGATTAAGGCATTAATTAAAATATGAAAGTCTATAGAAGACTTGCCCACCTAACAATACAAAATGTCTAATCATGAAAAGGAATATTTTGCTTACAGAATGACTAATTACAAACTAAATATTAATGCAAGCATATTCTTTTTAAGTGTATTGTAAGGTTTGTTTAAAATTCCCTTAAATTGAATAATTTTTATACTAACTGAAGTTCATGTATTTCAGTTACATCAAGTTCATGTAACTGAACTTCAAGAATAAAATATTGTGTGAACTCTAAAACCTAAAGTGTGGAACTGTATTTTACTTTGAATCATAGTCCTATCTCTACCTCGTTCTATGGGAGAGAGATTTTATAACATATTAGATAACCTCCATGCATGTAAATGTAGTTCAGTTTGATGACATTTCTCTTAGGGAAAATTTAAAAATAGTACAATTAGTTAAACCTTACCTTTTAGGGCAAGAAAAAGGGATAGAGTTCTTAATTCTATAGAAAGCCAGAGGGATATAGATCATATAAGTACAAGTTGGCTATTATTTCTTTTTCTTTTCTGCTTTCTGAAAGTGAAATAAAGCTGTATCGATGAAACAAAGGAGAAGTCACATGTTGCATAAATCTCTTTTACATTTTATTCTGGTTGGAAAACCAACTATCAGTTACTTGGCTTTCTACAATCATCTACATTTTTAATTTACTTTTAATATCCTTGAGCTTATTCCATAAGAAACACAAAACTAAACCAAATAACCTAAACAAATTAAATGTCTATTCTTTGACATGCAAAATGGATTGAGGTCTTCGGTTTTATTATTATTTAAAATGTCAGCAATGTTTTGCCTGCTGGGAGCATGCATTTTCTATTTTTCAATCTTTCTCAAAACAACTTATTGCATGTTTCATGAATCATGATGGCCAGGGATCTTAGTTGATGTTTTTCAAAATTAAAAAATAAACAAACGTGGTGCTCATGGTGGCATTTTCTTAAGTGGCTGTGGCACATGTAGTGTTGTCCAGTGTTTCTAGAAAACAATGCAATGAAAGAAACATTCTTGTAATAATTATTCTATTGTGTGTGACCTTCAGATGCAGAAATAATAGGAATTCATTGAGGGAGCAATCTGAGTTCCCTAACAGATTAATTATCCATTAAATCTGGAAACATAAATAATGATATGGTTATTATTAATTTCAACATGGAAAATGTATCTGATAACATAATGTAGATATGCCTAATTTCGATCCTTGGGGATACCTGTATACTCAGTTCATGGGCTGTCCTTTCATTTTCTGTGGCATCATCTATGACTTATTTATTATTATTTTTCTTTCTCTCTCTCCCCTCCCATGAACTCCATTTTGAGAGTTAGCATCATATTACCATCATCATGGAGATAGATATAATATCGGGAAGCTTTTCCAAACTAAGTGGGCTGCAGAAATCATCATGGTGGACGGAACACAGCCTAGCCCACCCACAAAAGGCTTTGTAATCCCTGACCCTCTCAGCTACTGAGCAGCATGTACTAGTGGCTTAATAGCATCTACTTTTCTGCATACAGATTCCAGCTCCCAGTGGACGTTCAGCCCCTAATAGAAGTAGATAACTAATGTGAAGTGGTTCATTAACACTGTATTTACTATGATTTCTGGCAACCCAAATGGCTTTGGCTCTAATAATAGTATAATACTGCCTCGTTCCACTGGGTTTCAATGGGTTCTCTTCCAACCCATTTTCAATTTAGTTGTTCTGATTATTTATTTCAGAGTAAGGCAAAATCTACAAAAAACATCAGTAATTGTTTTTCCAAATTACAACTTTGTAAGATTGCCTCCCAGAAGACATAGGGAGGACAGGGTGCAATCTCTATGTAAAAAGAAAAATATGGATGGGAAAAGGTAAAAATTCAGTATGACTTATCACATACTAAAATCAAAACAATGTTTCTGAGAAAGTAATGCTATGTTAGGAAATAAACTGGAAAGATTTTGGGGGCATAGTCTTGCATACACTTCAGCCTTGGGATCCAAATGTCAAAATTATATCCATATCTATATCTATGTCTATATCCGTATCTGTAACATCTATGTTTTTACTCTGCAGTCTTAATTCCTTTCCAGGCTGCACATAGAGGGCACTCAGACTTTTTTTTTTTTTTTTTTTAACCTGGGAAATCTAATATTTTATTTCTGGATGATTCTTTAGAATCCAAGTGCTTGATTATTATTATTATTATTATTTTGGATGGAGTGTCACTCTGTCACCCAGGCTGGAGTCCAGTGGTGCCATCTCGGCTCACTGCAAGCTCTGCCTCCCGGGTTCACGCCGTTCTCCTGCCTCAGCCTCCCGAATAGCTGGGACTACAGGCGCCCGCCACCACGCCCGGCTAATTTTTTGTATTTTTAGTAGAGACGGGGTTTCACCGTGTTAGCCAGGATGGTCTCGATCTCCTGACCTTGTGATCTGCCCACCTCAGCCTCCGCAAAGTGCTGGGATTACAGGCGTGAGCCACCGCGCCCGGCTGATTATTGTTTTTAACAATGGAATAATCATAATACAGATAATCATTTTAGATCACAATTCCATTTTCCAAGCCGTAAACCTAGACTGTAGATAGAGACTGTTGACATACACAAAGCCAAAAAACAGGCAGGAAAACAAAGGGACAAGAATAAGTGAATAAATAGAAGACAAGATGGTAGATTTAAAACACAGCCTTATTAATAATCACTTAAAATTAAATGGTTTACATAGCCCAATTAAAAGACTATCAGTTTGGCTCAAAAAGCAAGACACGGGCATTTGTGGTCTTAATAAAATCCACTTGAAATACAAAGAAAGACAGAAATTGGTTAAAAGGATGGAAAAGAAGAGCACTCTAACACTAATTATATCAAAGCTAGAGTGGCTATATAAATATCATAAAGCTAGATTTCAGAGCAAAGGATATTATCGGAATAAAGACAGCCATTTTGTTTTTCTTCTTTTTTTTTTTTGAGATGGAGTCTCGCTCTGTCGCCCAGGCTGGAGTGCAGTGGCGCGATCTCGGCTCACTGCAAGCTCCGCCTGCCGGGTTCACGCCATTCTCCTGCCTCAGCCTCCTGAGTAGCTGGGACTACAGGCGCCTGCCACCACTCCCAGCTAATTTTGTTTTTGTATTTTTAGTAGCGACGGAGTTTCACCGTGTTAGCTAGAATGGTCTCGATCTCCTGACCTCGTGATCTGCCCACCCCGTACTCCCACAGTGCTGGGATTACAGGTGTGAGCCACTGCGCCTGGCCAAGACAGCCATTTTCAAATGACGTTGATAATGACAGTTTATTAAACACATACAACAAATCTGAATGTTTGTGCTCCTCTGTGCAGGTCTCTCCTCTCCTGTATTCTGCCCTGGGAACTCTAGCTGCCTTTGCTTCCACTGACTCTCAGCTCTGCTCAACTTTAGGAGACTGCCAGCCTCTACTGGGTGGGGACCTTGCCATACCATGACTTAGATATGCTCTCCCAGCAGTAAACTGTTAATCATAGAGTTCATTGTGTGCATTCTTATTTTCAGGGGTCATTGTCTTCTGACGCCTGATGTCCAATGTCTTGAAAACTGTTGTTTCATGTATTTTATTTTTTAAGTTGTTTTGTGCAGGGAGGCAAATATAGCTCTACTTTCTCCTTTGCTGCAACTGAAATCTCCTATTTATTTCTAAATTTATTTTAGTGATTCATTTGCTCAACAAATCTATACTGAATGGTGGAGACTCTCTCTCTCTCTTTCTCACATGCACACACACACACACACACACAAACACACACACACACCCCACATGTTTGTCACCCCCCAAAATTTATAAATTTACTTCTTGAAAGCAAATTCCCCAATGTGATGGTATTTGGAGATGGGGATTTTTGAAGGTGATCAGATCATGAGGATGGATCTGTTATGAATGAGATCCATGCCCTTATATAAGGTGCTTCAGAGAGCTCTTTCCCCCTTCTGCAGTGTGAAGACACAGTGAAGAGAAGGCTGTGAACCAGGAGTGGGTCCCCAGTAGACACAATATCTGCTAGCACTTGTATCTTGGACTTCCCAGACTTCAGAACTATAAAAAAATAATTTTGTTGTTTTATAATCTTTCCAGTATATGGTATTTTTATTATAGTAGCCCAAATGGACTAAGACATGTATATATTCTCTCTCATAAAGATATGAAAGAGATAAGAGAGAGACAGAGACAGACAGATGGGGGAGGGCAGAGGGAGAGAGGAAGAGAGAGAGAGAGAGAGAGAGAGAGAGAGAGAAACCTCACACACTAAGCTAGTCCCCAAGAATAAAGAAAAACTGAAATATAGGCCCTGGCATTGTAAGCTTATAGCTCTGTGGAAAATTAAAAAAAAAGAATTAGAAAATAGTGTAATATAGGGTAAAAAAATAAACAACTAAGTAAAAATCATTGTTTTGTAAGGAGAGTATGATAGGAGATGATGTTTGAGCCTCCTTTGGGGTCTAGGGAAAGAAATGTGAGTGACGGATTCTAAGAGGAAACTGTGCTCGTGTGCATAGTTGCAGAATCATTTGAAAGCGTGACACTTTAAAAAAAATTAAGTCCCTTCTTTGTAAATTTAGACACGGGTCCTGCTATGTTGCCCAGGCTGGAATGCAGTGGCTATTCATAGGCACGATCATAGCACACTGTAGCCTCGAACTCCTAGCCTCAAGTATTTCTCCTGCCTTAGACTCCTGAGCAGCTGGGACTACAGGCACATGGCACTACACCCAGCTTGGAAGCATGGCACTTTAAATGGACATGGAATCAAAGAATATACTTGGGGGAAATTAGCATATAATGCCAGAAAGCTGACAGATCATGAAGAACCTGGTATGAATCCTAAGGCGTCTGAGCTTCATACTCTGAGATTTAGGAAGCCATCATGGGATTTTAAACAGGGAAGAAACAATTGATTTGCATTTTAGTAAAATCATACTGATAATGCAGAGATATGGATAATAAGAAACTAGACTGAAGTCAATAGGTTTGTGGTTCTTGTAGTAATTCAGTTGGGAAAAAATACATTGGTAACTTCTGTGGTTAATAAAGAGTTGACAGCTTGAGAAAAAATGTCTAATGCAAATTCAACATCTATTGGTGACAATTAGATGTGAGATTTGAGAAAAAAAATTAAAGGAATTTCTGTGCTTGGATACTAAAGATAGTGATGCCATATACGGGGATGATGAATACTGAATGAGATTGTGGAAGGAGAAGAGAAGTTCTGGATAGAATGTGTTGATTTATGGAGCTAATGGATTTTCTGCTGAAGATGAACAGGAGATTGTTAGAAAGACCAAGTAGAGATACTCTTTTAAAACCCAAGCCAGTCATTTTTTCACAAGTAGTAGTGGTATATGTTTCACAGCAGAGATGAGGCAAAAGATGGTTCTGGAGACA
This sequence comes from Homo sapiens, assembly GCF_000001405.40. Classification (NCBI taxonomy): domain Eukaryota; kingdom Metazoa; phylum Chordata; class Mammalia; order Primates; family Hominidae; genus Homo; species Homo sapiens. Next base: position 107,595,226 of record NC_000010.11, read on the forward strand.
TGAAATCGGGAAGGGTTACAGGAGAGTAAATTAGAAAGAACAGGGACATGGTGCAGGGAAGAGAGGGGAGAGATGACACACAAATTTAAAAAGTTCATTTTTCACAAACCTTGTGCTTGGTTTTGAAGGCTATGAAATCAGTTCAAGTTCCTTGTTCTCAATAGGATATCTCTGCTAATTTTTATGGAAACTTGGATTCATATTAATGGGGTTTTACAGAAGAGTGCAATGGGTTTGGGGTAGCTGTTTTAATGCCACAAGGGGCAGGCATCTCCAGTGCTGTTGTTTATAATGGCTCCGTATGGCCACCAATGAGCAGCATGGTGGATATGGATGAGAACCTCTATCATAAAGGTTTTCACCAAGCTCCTATAGCTCAGTGGTTAACTTTAAAGCCCCATCACCACTCAAATCAGCTGTCATTGTATATATCACTATCCATGTCACCCTTCCACCTTGAATTTTTTCGGGACTAAGCTGTTTGGAACCAGGCCAGCAAGCAATGCCAGAACACAGAACTCTCGAGGAGAACCAAGCACATTCTCCCAGAAAACTCGCAGCTCATGAAGTCAAGGGGAATGATGGAAGAAAGGCACAATCATTATAAATGGTGAGTAGAGTGAAGAGAGGCAGATTTCTTGCCTCAGAGCCACAGCGGGGACATCAGTCATCTTGTAGCTTTCCCCAAAAGCTTGGCCAGCAACAATGACACCTGTACTTAACCACCAAGATGATATATGATCTAATTTCAACCTTAAAATAGGGGCTTGCTCCAGAGTAAACAAGTCACAACTGTTATATCCACCATCTTTGCCCTTCTTGGTTGTTTGGTAAGCTGGAAATGGGGGGTGGGGGGGCTAGAATGGCTATTGCTTATTAATATGCAGTAGTAAAAAGCTTAAATGATAGAAAGAAAACAATCAAACCTCTGCTTTGATTCCTTCCTTTCTTCTTCCTGCCTTTGTTTTTCCCTCTCTTTCCCCCTTTTCCCCCACCTCTCTCTCTTTTATTCTTTTTTCCCCTCTTTCCTTCTTTTTGGTTTAAATAAAAATCGCATCCCAGATGGGATTGAAATAAAGTTCTCCATGCTTGTAAGTGGCAGAATACAATTTCTGTTCTTAATTTCCTTGTAGAGAATTTAATGAGAAAAATTTGGGAACTCTGTAATTCCCAGTAGTACAATGTACTATGCTTACAAGTCTCACTCCATCTAGAAGCAAAGAGCTGCTGTGTGAGCAAAAAGAATGGGAACACTTTACAGGTATCCTGATGTCTGCATGACAAAGAACTAGAACAAGAGACAAAATGAGAAATGTAGCAATAGACAGGCTTGTTCAATATAAAATTAAAAGGTAAGGGCAGCTGATTCTGAGCAAGTGCTTTGAACCAACCAGGAATCATGCCTCAAAGTCAGTTAAATCCACAAGCTCCCAAACAGCACTTCTGACCACAAATTAAGGACAGTCACGTAAGTATAATATAGAAAGAACAGATGAGCACCCACTAGTCTCCTTAACAACACAAAGATTGGTGACAAATGCATCATAAATATACATCATAAATAGAGATTATTAACTATCTCAGATCTGAAGCAGTAAAAAAAAAAAAAAATCACCAAATTCATTATTCATCTGTCTGTCCATCAAGGGCAATATTTTGTTTGCAATGTGATGGTCTAGCTTAATTAAGGCATTAGTGTCCATTAAAATGTGTTTTTGTTTTCACATTTTTGTTTTAACTTCATGTATTTTATCACTTCAAATCAAGACTTCCCTCAAGTTCTGTTTTTACAATTAACTATTAATTTTGAGCATGTGAAAAATAAATTTTTCACAGGAGAAGAAAGTAGACCCCTGCTTTGTTAATTTGCTGAATGTCCCTCTTTCCCTTTAATTCATCGATTTACTGAATGTTCTTCTTAACTCAAGGTACTTGACAGAGTTTCATCTGAAGCTTCACTATTTTGTGACTTCAGAATATGCATGATCTGGGTTATCTATCACTGAATAAAAGTTGTTGAGGGTTATTCAAATTGTCCATTTAAGAGTGCAAAAGAAAGGTATATCTAATGGAAAATCACTTGCTTGTCTTCCATGCTTTTATTAAGCAAACGCACAACTAGCTTCTTTAGTACTCCAGGCAATTTATATTCTCAAGCGCTATTTGTTGCCTGTTTAAAATATGTCTTCATAATAAAGAATTCAATGGAATCATTGGCTGGTTTTCCTGGATACTTAATCAGTGCACTTATCTCATATACAGTCATTATTTCCTCAGCTTGCTTTTTAGAAATACAATGTAAGGGAAAAAGACACAAGAAAATCTCTAGTTGAGTGTTACTAGTAGGAAAAATGCAGAGGGTCATTACAATCTTGATAAATAAAAGGCCCTTAGGAATGAGGCCCCCGTAAACTGCCCATTCCCCAGGCTTTCTCCTGCCATTGGTTGGCATGTCTTCCATGGGTCAAGTGTTTTATTTGCCTTCATTCCATTGGAAGACTTTTATCTAAGTGTAGTAGTGATGACTGAATTCTGGCTCTTGTGCATGACAAAGGAGCCAATGTCATCAGACCATGAGGCTGTTCTGAGGTTAACTTCTATGGTCAGTCTTGAGGACCCTATGTCCCCTCTGTCATGAGTCTACCACCAACAGGACTCTCATTGATTTTTCACAAAAATATAATATTTAAATATACCTGGATGACAGAAATACTGGAAAGATGTAGTCTATCTCTTTTCTATCTATAGAAAATTTCAATATACTATACAAAGCATGTGTGTTTATATTTATATTTATATAAATATAAATTTTTATATTTCATTCTTATTTCATAAGTGAGATGTTCGAAAAAGCAAAAGATTAAAAAGAACTTGTAGATGGACATTTACCTTTGTTCATTTCTCCCCCCTTTGTCTGGGCAGCATGACATTTATTAAACTAGAGTTCTAAGTTGTAAGTCAGCTTCCCTGCTTTCATCCTCTTTGTGAATGTTTCAGAATTTAGACTTCTACTTAATGTAGTAGGATGGATAGCATTATCACTTGATAGACAGCAACCTAGGCTCTCCTACTATTGGCATTTTTTATATTCCTTCTAATTTTCTGCTATATGTGAAGTTCCCTTTACTGCTTATATTCTTATAATGCGCTCATTTTTCAAATATTCTTATTCTAAGATCATATTTTCAGGGTAACAGCATTTACCCAGAGGAGTTATTTGAAGAGTGAACAGAGTTGTGTTTCAAATGCAGCCTTCTCAAGTTAGTTCCCTTCAACTTTGCTTTCTGTCATGTAGGACCTGAGTTTAACATGGCTGGAGAAAGAACTCAGATACAGCAGACTAGAGTTTACAGTTATAAATGAAGGGGATAGTTATAAATGAAGGAGAGAGAGACAGAGAGATAGAGAAAGTGAGAGAGGGAGAGAAAGAGAGAGAGAGTGGGAGAGAGAGACAGAGAGAAGAGAAGATGAGAGAGGCTCAGCTAGTGAAATGGAATGCTTTTAGACACTCTTAAGACTCTCATTTCACCAAGCCTCTGTTTCATTTTTTTCACAACTCTCCAGTTAAGAAAGCAAGATGAATATCTAAAAATTAATCCAAGCACATATTGTTACAGTAGATTGTTAGGCAGACATGAGCAGGGAAGGAGAGGGCCCCCACCCCCAGAAATGTTCAGGTGACCATCAGGTGATGGTCAGGTGGTTGTTAAAAGTCTGTCTAAAATAATAATTGGTTGCAGCCAGCACCAGGGAAAGGCAGGCTCCCAACAGACAGAAAACACCTGAAACTGATGATCAGCCGCTTCCAGGTAAGTTCTCAGGAGTTGGGCAAGTGGGCTCAAGCATGTGCATTAAGAGGCAAAATGGTGGAGTTTAACTGGTATATGGCCTTCCTCTAGGACACTCAACTGGTAAAGGAAAACACCTCAAGTGAGCCTGTGCTCAACTTCAGTAAACACACTGTGCACGCTCACCTCCCAAGTGCTGACAGGCCACTGCACATGCAGACAGCCCACCCCAAGGGAAGAATCAAGGGAGAAGTAACGCAACCCCAGAAGCATGCCAATGTATAAGACCCAAGTCTAAGGTCAAACTGCTGACTTAAATCTTTCAAGTCACCCACTTGGCCTTCTTCCAAGTGTACTTTGCCTCCTATCATTCCTGTTCTAAAACTTTTTATTTTATTTTATTTTATTTTATTTTTTTAAACGGAGTCTCGCTCTGTCACCTACGCTGGAGTGCAGTGGTGCGATCTCGGCTCACTGTAAGCTCTGCCTCCTGGGTTCACGCCATTCTCCTGCCTCAGCCTCCCCAGTAGCTGGGACTACAGGTGCCTCCACGACGCCAGGCTAATTTTTTTTTTTTTTTTGTATTTTTAGTAGAGACGGGGTTTCACTGTGTTAGCCAGGATGGTCTCGATCTCCTGACCTGGTGATCCACCCGCCTCAGCCTCCTAAAGTGCAGGGATTACAGGCGTGAGCCACTGCGCCCGACCCTAAAACTTTTTGATAAATGTCTCTCTTGTTCTGAAACTTGCCTCTGTCTCTCACTCTGCCTTATGCTTCTTGGTCAAATTCTTTCTTTCAGAAAGGTAAGAATTTAGATTGCTGCAGACTCATATGGATTTGCTGCTGCTTACAATATCACACATGATTTACCTAATATTTAAGTGTGGAAACACTGGGCAAAAAGACAATGAAATGCATCAGTAGAGAAACTCTAAAGATAAATGAAGGAAAACAGTAACAGCAACAACAACACATAATTTTAGACAACCTGTGCTAGACTATGATCCTTGGAGGACATGAGGAATCACTGGAAGAAATGGTTTTAAAAGATGTAAGACAGAAAAAAATGTCCAGAGAGAAGGCTTTCATGAATAATAGGGCCATTATCCATAGGCAAATCTTACTTTAATAGTGAGCTATTAGGAGTGTTTATATTTTCATAAGATTCGTATTTTACATTTTTTTAATCCTTTGCCAATAATGAGATGATAAATAAGAAATTAGGGAGACAGAGAAATACGAGAAAGACACAATAGGCAACGAAGAGGGAAGAAGCTAGGCAGAGACATACAGAAGCCCTCTGTTATCTACTAGGATATGTTCCATGACTCCAGTGGATGCCTGAGATCGCAGATAGTCCTGAACTCCACATGTATTATGTTTATACGATGTGATAAATAAGAGGGCTCCGAAGTGACTAATGAGCAGGTATGGTATACAGCATGGATACACTGGACAAAGGTACGATTCACATCCTGGGTGGGCCAGAGCAGGACAGTGTGAGATTTCATCATGCTACTGGGAACAATTTAAAAGTTCTGTATTATTTCTGGAATTTTCCACTTAATATTTTTGGATTATGGTTGACCTTGGGTAACTGAAATCCCATTAAGCAAAACTGGTGATAAAGGAGACTGTTGTATACATATTGATCAGCATTGCCTTAATGTTTCCCTCAGCTTGATTAAACTTTGGAGAGGATTCCTTCCGTCCCTAGACTCCTGACTTCCTTTTTCTTAGAGCATTTACTTTAGAAACTCATACTTATAAATCCTTTTTCTGCGCCTTTGAGATGTAGATCATTTTAAAAGCATCTTGCGCACTTTGGGAGGCCGAGGCGGGCGGATCACGAGGTCAGGAGATCGAGACCATCCCGGCTAAAACGGTGAAACCCCGTCTCTACTAAAAATACAAAAAAAAAAAAATTAGCCGGGCGTAGTGGCGGGCGCCTGTAGTCCCAGCTACTTGGGAGGCTGAGGCAGGAGAATGGCGTGAACCCGGGAGGCGGAGCTTGCAGTGAGCCGAGATCCCGCCACTGCACTCCAGCCTGGGCGACAGAGCGAGACTCCGTCTCAAAAAAAAAAAAAAAAAAAAAAAAAAAAAAAAAAAAAAAAAAAAGCATCTTGCCAGTTTTATCATCCAGGAATGTCTTCCTCAAAAACCTAGCATCATCTCTTTGAAGTATAATCATCAAGGAAGAGAGTGGCCATATCTTTCATTTTCTGTGGGAGCTGAGGGCTTTAACCCAAGTTGTACAACTACCTCAGGTAGTAATGAAGATATCAGAAGGTTTACTTTTTCTTTGGGTAATGCCAATTAGCAAACATAGATGGCCTATGATCGCTCCCTCATCCCAGTTCTTAAAACTCCACTTCTTTTTTTAGTTATTATTATTTGTTTGTTTCAGTGAGTTAAGTTCAGACTCATTTTTGGTCTTTTTCCTCTATTGCAATAGCCTTCAATAATGTCCTTCTTGCCTAATATTGCCCAGTTCACTTTTGGTTTGACATATATAATAAAGATAATCCCATCTGCCTTTTTCTTCCTATTTTCATCTTGATGCAACAGAGAATGAATAGACTTTGAATAAATATGGAACTGGCCTCTGCTTTGTAACATACCGGCTGTATCCTTAGACACCATCGTTGAGCCTCTCTCTCTTAATTTATAAAACAAACTATCATGCATGGTTATTATGAGAATACATGCAAAATTTCTGGTGCAAAAAACCAGTAAACAGTCCCTGACTGCATTTTTAATCAACAAATATGTTGTGTGCCCTAAGGCACATGTTCTAAATGCAACTCTTAAGTACCTTTCAGTTGTTGTATCAGTGAGGAATATGCTGACAACGGAGACTTACTTTTTGAAAAACAAAAAAAAAATGTAGCTTTCTCATGGGCAACTGCCTTTCTGGAATTAGAAGAGGTTCAGTGTTAAGATGGACTACTTGGAGTGGATATTGTATTATCATCTTCATGTCACATAGAAGTCACACATTTGTGATCAAAAACACACTTATTCCAAATAAAATTGGCTTTCTATCTGGTATTTTCCCTGTCCTGCATTTTATTTTGTCAGAAATGATGGAATTGTACACACACACACACATACATGTGTGTGCATATCTATATCTACATATTATGAAAACCAAAGTAAATAAGTTGGTTATGAAAGTGGTTCCTAAGCTAGCATGCTGATTTTGTATAAGTGACTATATCCATATCTGACAGATGTAATGCAGCAGTCCAGTTTTACTCAATGTGAAAGGCAGAGACAGTTAAACTCTAACATGATCTCTATGTAGCTTTATATTTTTGTTTATAGCAGGTTATTTTCCTAGGTGAATTTTATTCTAGCAGTGTAAAAATGGACAAATATATCATAATATAGTTGTTCACCTATATGAAGCCTTAATTCTATTACTGAGTATGTACTCAGGGGCAACCTGTCTTTGGGAACATGGCAGGTTCTGTCTCTTTCTGTCAGGAGAGGTTTGAAACATTGACTGGAAGTTACCTAGAAGCCCTGGAAATAGTGGTGCTGTGTAACTGTCCCTGGCTGTAACACAGAAGTGTTAGAATGATATGGTAGATATTGCCCTTAGTGAATTACTCCTACAACTTTTCAAGGTATTTAACTAACATAGTTACCAAGTGACAGATCAAATATCCCCCTGGTAGAGAAGTAAAGTTAGATAGCTTACCTATCAATAGTAATGGGCTTATATTTTTTTTAATGAGCCGATTTTTTCCTTCACAATGGCAGAGCTAAACTCCTTTATTAAACATTAAGTTTGCAAGAGCCCACCCAAGGCTTCCTACAAAACTTGATCATTCTTGGCACTTTATGACTTCTTTCCTTCTTCTCCTTCTGCTTCTTCTTCCCCTTCCTCTTGTTCTTCTTCATCTCCTCCCCCTCCCCCTCCCTCTCCCTCCTCTTCTTCTTCCTCCTCTTCCTCTTCCTCTTCCTGCTCCTCTTCCCTCTAAAGCCTCTTTCTTCTTCTCTACCATATTGATAAAAAATGTGTTTACCATGCAACAGATACACTATATACTAGGCTAAGTAGTTTACTGGCATTATCTCATTTCCTTCTCAGGAAAAATGTCTATGAAGTAGGCAATCTCACTGTAGCCATTATACAAATGAAATAGAGTGAGTTCTGCAACTTGCAGAAAGCTACAAAGTTTCTAAGTGCCAGAAATGGGAATGTCTAAATCTAAAGACAGGGGCTTTAACCACTGTTTCATAACACTTCTCATCTGAATGTGTCAATGCAGATGTCTTGGTACAAGCTGATGTGATTAATTAACTTCTTGTTTCATCCTTGAATATAATAGCAAAAATTAGTTACATGGTGGTGCGTGCCTGTGGTCCCAGCACTCAAGAGGCTGAGGTGGGAGGGATCCCTGGAGCCCAGGAGGCAGAGGTTGCAGGGGGCTGACATTGCAGCTCACTGCACTCCAGCCTGGGTGACAGAGTGACATCCCATCTCAAAACAACAGAGAAAAAAAGGAAAAGAATAACAATTTAAAATAATAAAATAAGATGGTAGTAGCATTAATGTACTGAGAGTAGGACTGGCTTAGGAATGCACAAAAGAAATATTCTTAATCAAGAGTAACAAATCAGCGTCAGCATTGGGAAGAAAATCCAGAGAATTAATGCCTAATCTGTTTCAATAAACAGGTAAAAGAAAGAAAAGTAATTGCTTTCGGAAGGTTTATTGGGCAAGGGAGGGGGTTAAGCAAGATACCTATGCCTTTCCTACTATTACTGTTAATAAATATTTTAATGCAATTTTATATTACCATTCATGAAAATTAATTTTTGGAAGGAAAAGACCAAAATAACAAGGAGTTAAAAATAAACTGGAAAGCCTGGAACTTCTTCTTCCGACCTTGATGCTATAGCTGAAACTGGACTTAACTCTCCTGCTTTCAACAAAGAGAAAACAACAAAGTAAGTGTAACAACTTTTTTCAATTGTCAGCCAACAGGCCATGCAAGACTCTGATCCCTGATGGAAAGATAATTAGCATAATGTCAGTCCTATAATTATCCTGGCTAGCGATAATTTCTAGATCACAATTTGAGAAGCAGAGTGATGTAACTTAGTAGGTTTGCTGAGTTGAACTCAGAGTTTAGAGTGCAGGAAGAATATCAGAAATCTACATTCAAGTCCTTGTGATCTTAGGGTTAACTACTAAGAAACGTACGCGAAACTCCATGAGACTGAGCAAAGAATTAACAAGAAACTGAAAGCTAAATAAATCCAAGAGTTCACACCGGGATTGGGGATTTTCAAGTTTTAACCAACTAGAGGGGAGAGTCGTTATGAACAGCTGGCATATTCAGTAGGAACCCAAGAAGCATTTGTAGTGTCAAACTAGCTAACAAATAAAGGCTACTCTAAACTTATCCCAATGAAGCCAAAATTGATCTTGAAAGAATTAAGCTTTTCCATAAGTAATTTAATTGCCTGCTAGATCAAAGTTCAGTGACCTGTAAATGTAGAAAGAACATAAAATCAAGCATACAACTTCAGAAAATTCGGTTTGCAACAATGAAAAATGACTAATCATGAGAAGAAATTTAAAATATTTACCATACCCAAGAGAGAAATTAATCATAAGAAACATGCTAAAAATAAGAGGTATTATGGGATTTGCAGAGAAGGATGTTATTATATTTATTATAAATAAATCCAGTGAATTAAAGGAAAAACAAAGATAATGCACAGAGAAATGGGTAATTTTAAAAGTAACCTAATAGAATTTGTAGAGATGAAAAATATCATATCTTAGAACTTAAGAAAAAAATCACTGGCATGTCAGCAGATTAGATACAGCAGAAAAAGAAACAATGAATATGAGTAAATAGTTACAGAAATTATGCAACTTAAATCAATCAGGAAAATAAAAGGATTAAAAATACTCAAGGATAAGTGACATTATCAGATTTTCTACACATGCGTAATTAGAGAAGGAAAAGAGAGATGGTGATGCTAGGGAAAAAAAGCCAACACTGTTCAAATTTTAGGAAAAATAAACCAGCCTACAAAGCCAAGAAGCTAAAATAACCTGAATCAAGAAATCACCAAGAAAGGGCATATTCTAATCAGATTGCTAAAAATATAGATAAAGATGAAAAAATTAAAGCACCAGAAGGGGAATAAAAGCATTACTTACAAAAGAATAAAAATAAAATAAAATTACATCTGGGTGACATCAGTGCAAATGATGTTGTAAGGACATCAGAAAATTCTCTCCTCTTCTCCATAAGGTAATGAGTACAGTTGCAAAAACTGTCAAGCTCAAATTCTTTCAAAACTCTAGAAATTAACCAAATGCTTGTATCAATTTGTGGAGCATTTATTTAAGAGAAATGACTGAACATTAGTAAGAATGGTGAACTTTGTGGTATTTTAACTTGTCCTATCCCCTTTCCCTCTCTCCAGCTCTGTGGTAGCCTTGAAAACTAATGGCCCCACAATCATGGTGAAAACTAAGGACTAGGCTGCCCCGACAAGGGGCAGAACAGGGTTGGAGGGAGCTCCTGCAAAAACCCATTCTCCCAAATTGTTCACATTTAGTCAGTCTGACAGTTTCCTATTAAGCTTCAGTCACTTGTCTTTTTTTTAAATCTACAAAAATTGTATATTTTTGTGTACAACATGTTGTTTTAAATATAAATACATTGTAGAATGGCTAAATCAAGTTAATTAACGTAAGTACTGCTTCACATATTTTTTGTGGTGACAACACTCAAATGCTACTCTGTAAGTGACTTTTAAGACTGAAATACATTGTTATTAATTATAATCACTACATTGTACAGTAGATCTCTTGAACTTATACCTCCTATAAAACCGAAGTTTTGTATCCTTTGAACTGATCATCTCAACTGTCTTTTCTTTGATCTAACTGCAAGCTCACTTGTTGTGAGCACAATTTAACCCAGGGGTGTCTGTATTTGTGTGTGTGTTTGTATGTGTGTGTGTGTGTGTGTGTGTGTGTACACCAGTTGTTTATCATCACATTTGCCTGATTGGAAGTACAAGCTGGGGCCAAAACAGCTCACTAAATAAAAAAGGAAATGTGAAAATAATAGTGGAAAACGCTAGTGAAATGGATGTTCATAGAGGGCTATTTTGAAAATCTGATATATTTTTGGGAATGTAGAAGACCACATGCACAGACACATGGCTGTACTCATGCCCAGAACTATGCACATGTCCATGAAAAACCTCAAGAAGACTCTACACTGCTACTTCTGTCTGACCTTGAGGCTCTGTGCAATCAAGAAGTTAAGGCTAAGACTGAATTGTGAACTTCCTGCCCAAGCATTGAGAGCAAGCACTAACACATGTAAAGAGGCTCTTGGCAGAAACTAGTAGGAGTATTGGAGTCTTCAATACACCATATTCAATAATGTATAGAACAACTCCTAAGAAGATCAATCAGGAAAAATGATGACTGAGGTTACACTATACACCAATTAGATTAACATATCTATAGGACACTCCACCCAACAGCAGGATTCTTCAGAATAAACCATACGTTATGCCATAAAACAATTCTCAATAAATATACAATAATTAAAATCATATAAAGTATGTTTTCCAGCCACAGTGCATTGAAATGAGAAATCAATGACAAAAGGAAATTCAGAAAACTATGAATATGTAAAATCAAATAATACACTTCTAAGTAACTAATACGATAAAAAAAAGGAAAATCAGAAAACACTTTGAAATGAATGAAAATGAGGATACAATATATCAAAACCTATGGGGTGCAGCAAAATCTGTGCTGAGAGAAGAATTTATAGCTGTAAATGGGTATATTGAAAAATAATGAAGTAGTAGTCAAATGACGGCACAGAAATTATTAAAATATGTCCATTCAGCTGAAAGGAAAATGATACCAGATACAACTCAGATCTAAACAAAAGAATGAAGACAGCCATAAATGTTAAATTGGAAAATATATATAATAAAATGAACTAATTTTTCTAATTTATTTAAGAGGCAATTGACTTTAAAGAAAAAATAATAGAGGGGTTTATAACATATGCAATGATAACATTATGACCATAGGGACATAAAAGAAGGCTTAGGGGAAAATGCGAGTTACATTATATGTGAAGTGGCATGATAATTATTTGAAGATGGATTATGATAAGGAAGCATATTATAAACCCTAGAATAATCACTGAAAAACGATTAACACAGGGTTATAGGTAATATGAAAATAGAGTACATAATATAAAATTCTAAATAATAGTTAATTATTCCAAAGGAAGGCAGAAAAAAATGATATAAAGAAGATATAGAAAGGTTAATAATAATATCAAGAAGATGGACTTAAAGCAAACTGTACCAATACTTACATTAAATGTAAATGAATTAAACACAGTAATTAAAAGTCAGATAGTTTCAGATTGTATAAAAAGGCAAGTTACATCTACATGTGTTCTATAAGAAATGATCTTTAAATATAAAACCACAGATAGGTAACAAGTAAAAGAGATGAGACAAGATATACCAAATACTAATCCAAAGAAAGCTGAGGTGGCTATATTAACATCAAAGAAGGCTTTAGAATGTTATCTATTAAAAGGGATTAAAATAAGGATAATTCATAATGAAAATAGTTAACTACTAAATAAAACACAAATACCTAAATGTACATGAATTTAATAGCAGAGCCTCAAAATACATGAAAAATAACTGACAGAAGTAGAAGAAATGGAAATATTTCTATCCACATTGAGAAAGAGGAGACAAAAAATAAGATAAATAGCACTATCAACCAAGTTGATTGACATTACATTTACAAAACATTACGCCCAACAACTGCATAATACACATTTATTTTAAGGATATGTAGAAAATGCACCAAAATAAAACATATTGGGTCATATAACAAACTTTTCAATGAATTTTAGAAACATTGAGGTCATATAGAGTAAGCTCTCTGTCAAAATGTAATTATATTAATAATGAATTTTTTAAAGGTATTGGGAAATAAAGCCCAGGTATTTGGACATTAAATGATGCACTTATGAATAACCCATTAGTCAAAATGGAAATCACAAGGGAAATTAGAAAACACTTTGAATTGAATGATAATGAAATATGATATATCAAAATTGTGAGATGCCACTATAGCCATAATTACATAAAATTTAAATTTTTAAATACACAAATATTTTAAAAGTTACAAACACACACATATATACAGACACAAGTCCAATGATAACATAAAAATATGTAACACATTAATATTCAAGAAATGAACATTAAAAACACAATAAAGTATCACTGCACATCACTGAAATGTTAGAAGTAATAAAATGGAAAATTTCCAAACTCTGCAGAGACACATAATTAACTCAAATTCTGATACATTGCTGGTTTAAGTACAAAATGATACAATTATGCTGGCAAACAATTTATTAAGTACTTTTAAACTTAACCATCCACTTATCACATGACAAATAGACATGAAAACATATATCTACAAAAGTCTTGTAATGCAAATATTCCTAAGAATTTTATTCACAGTAGCCCCAAACTGTAAATTGTCCATGAACGAGTGAATTAAAAACATTAAATATTCATAAAATACTACTCAAATACAAAAAGGGATAAACTGTTGATACACTGAAAATAAATGAATTTTACAAATATTTTGCTAAATGTAAGAAACCACATAACTCATAAAGGCCTGAACTTGTGAAACAACTTTGTAGGAACAGAGATCAGATCTGTGATTGCCAGGGGTAGGGATGACGGTGGATGACTGAGGAGTAATACTGAATATTTTTATTATGATGAAAATTTTCTACATCTTGGTTTGTTTGGAGCCACAATATGTACCTAACCTACTGTTTTTAAGAAACTGTGCTTTGCACCAATGGCAGATATGAGATATAACTAATAAAAGGAATCCCTTTGTAGAAATCAAAATGCTGAAAAGTTAGGCAGCTTGACCAAGGTTATACTTGGAGAGTAACAGAGCCAGAATTTGAACTAACATAGTTAGTTTACAATCTTTACAATCTTTTTGGGATTTAGCAAAAAGAATTTACAATCCTTTTGTGATTTAGCAAAATAACTCTGGCTACAGAGCTCAAGGAGGCAGCATTAAGATCAGAGATACTGAAAGCTGTTGTCATAATTTTGATGAAAGAAAATGAAGATCTATAATAAAAGGAGACCTTTTATTAGCATTCAAGCAGATTACAGTCCATTCATGCAGATTACAGTACAGACCTATAATCTTAAAGTTACTATTCAAGTTAATAAATGCCATGAATAGTGTTATAGAATTGTGATGGTTAATTTTTAATGTGTCAACATGGAGAGGTGAAGGTGCCCAGCTGTTTGGTCAAACACTAGTATAGGTATTGTGAAGGTACTTTTTAGATGTGATTAACATTTAAACCAGTAGATTTTGAGTAAAGCAGATTATCCTTCATTATGAAGATGGTCCTCATCAGATCAGTTGAAGGTCTTAAGAGATAAGATTGAGGTCCCCACAAAGAGGAAGAAATTCTTCTCCAGACTGCCTTGGCCTCAAGACTGCAACATTAACTCTTGTCAGAATTTTTTGCAGAATTTGAACTTGCCTTCCCCTACCATCAATCAACTGAGCAAGTTACTTGAAATCTATCTATCTATCTATCTATCTATCTATCTATCTATCTATCTATCATCTATCTATCTATCTATCTATCTATCTATCTATCTATCTATCTATCTAACCATATTATAGAGGGAGACAGAGAGACATATCTTATTGGTTCTGTTTTCTCTGGAGAACCCTGACTAATAAACAAATCATAAAAAAATGACTTGTTCTGTCCTGAGGCATTAGCAAAGACATCACAAAGAAGATAATTGGGTTGGGGCACAATTACTGCTTCTACCCTATGCCGGTCAGTGTTCTAAGTATTGCGGCTGTGCTATTTCATTGACTTTTCGTAACTCCTACTCTGTGAGTGATAAAATGCAATTTGCACATAAAAAAAATACAGCTAAGAAAAATAAGTCACAAACATTAACATAGTGTACCCAAGATCATTTGGTAGGTAAGTGATGAAGCCAAGAGATTCTAATTCAGACCATTTCATTCCTAACACTCTTGAGCACTGCCTTTCAAGGACTCACCTTGAAGGATGAACAGCTGTTTACCATACGCAGCAGAAAAGGAGGGGTATGGTGGACACAAAGAGCAGTGACAACGAAAAGACTGTATAGAATGGAGTTCTGTGAGTTCAGAATAAATGACAAAATAAATATATGAGGGAGGAGAAGGTGATATAAAATGCTGAAGCCAGGTTTTGAAATGCTATACAATGTCTTGGTGAATAATCTAGACCAGCTTTGATAGGCAGTAGGACATTCCTAGTTTGTTTTTAAGATGGCAGTTTGACATTATAGAGATAACTAACACTTCTTGAGCCCTTGCCAAGAGCAACACATTACTCTAAGTAATTTAGACATATATGCATTGTCTATACTTCATAACATCCTTGCAAGGTAGATGCTATTTGAACCTCCATTTCATAGATGAAGAAAGGAAGATCCTGAGAAGTTAGGCAGCTTGACCAAGTGTATACTTAGAGTGTAACAGAGACAGGATTTGAACTAACACAGTCTGATTGTAGAACTTACAATGCTTTTGCAATTTAGCAAATAACTCTGGCTACAGAGTTCAAGGAGGCAACATTAAGAGCAGAGATACTAAAAGCTATTGTTATAATATTGATGAAAGAAAATGAAGATCTAAACAAATTCTCTGAGGATGACAAGAAATTATGCTAAATTAGAGGCAGAAATTGTGTCTTTGACTACATTTCCTACTCATCACATAAATATTTGTTGATTGACTGGCTTCATAAATCATAAGCTACAGGTCTCCTAATGAGATTGTCTTCTTTATCTTTAAATCTATTGCTGAAAGGTTTCTGTGTTATAGGTAAGGTAATTCCCTCTTTGTTCCATATTCAGCTAGCCTGCCAGGAATCACATTTATAGATAAAATGGCTTCTTTCATCCCAGAGCTGACAAGCTAAATTATATTATTCTTTTTAAAAATATTTACAAATCATGCAAAAATGTATGCTGAAGAATTTACCACTATAAGCCTCTCACCTCTACACACAAAATATAATGTCCTAGCCTTTTCCCAAGACTTGGGGAGGGCTTCTTCTGTTTATAGAGGCCTTAGGGCATGACCAAACCTGCTAAGGGATAACAATTTCTGCAACCAGCATTCTGTTTGCATTATGACCTCATTTGGTGCTGCAATATAATGTGTACATACCATTTTCAATTTGTCTAGAAACACTATTTGGTGTCCTGGCTTAGTGTAACTGCCAGAATTATTCATAACTCAGGAACCAGGTTACATTTTCCTGCATAGACTATTCAAATAATAAGACTAAAGGCAAATAGGACTGGCTCTTCTTTGCCCACATTTTTCATTCATACCCATTGCTAATTCCTTCCCTCATTAAAAATAGAAATGTTGTCATGTTATGTTGTTGCAGGGGGTATCACAGAAAGAAAGTGATCATGAACCCATTTCCTGGGGATCGGAGGGCTTCATACCAGTGGTATGTATTTCAGGTGAACACCCCAGGATGTTGTGACTTCTTTGTAACAAATAAGTGAGTGGAGTTTTTATTTAATAGAAAATAGAGAGGAATCATTAAACCAAAATGGTCCTTACAACAAAAGCTAAAGATCCCGGAAATCTAAGCTTGCTGTGACTGGTTATATAGATTGCTTATTGCACAAAGACAATAAGTTAAGGGGAGGGTGAATAGGCGCTGGAAGACATTATGTGTTCCATTTGATAAGTCCTATGGCTATGAGGCAACCAGAAGGGATATCTTTATTATTTATTAATTTTTTATTTGTATAAATTTATGGGGTACAAGTGTAATTTCGTTACATGGACATATTACATAGTGGTGAAGTCAGGGCTTTCAGTGTATCCATCACCTGATTACTGATCATTGAACCCAGTAAGTAATTTCTCATTATCCCCCTCCAACCCCTCTCTCTTCTAAGTCCCTGTTAGCTATCACTGAACACTCTATGTCCATTTGTACACATTATTTAGCTCCCACTTATAAGTGAGAACGTGTGTTATTTGTCTTTCTGTGTCTGAGTTACCTCACTTTTCACAATGGTATTTGTGGACAAGCACAGGCTGAACTTGGTGTTTCCATATCATTGTTTATTTGCTAATAAGTTAGTATATTTTTACTTGTAAGCACTAAAAAATTTAACCAAGAACAAGATTGTGGTTGGGTCATAGAAAGAACACAACCATTGAGATTCTTAAGATCATCCCTCTGTCTCTGTCTCTCTCTCTCTCTTTTATCCTCATCCCCATTTCTCTCTGCATCAACCTCATTCTTCTCTACTACGTCATAGAAGCTTTCTTCTTGACCAAACACATGATTATTGAGAGCATCTGCCTTTCACATCTTACAGATCATAGGGAGAAACTGACCTAACGATTTCCCTTGTTCCAAGATTTAAAAAATATATTTGATAGGTGACTCATTTGTTGAGGTAAAGTCAGAGTCCTATCCTGAACCAATCAAGTATGGCCAGCAGTTTTATATATTCAGGAGGGTTTGGGGGAGGGAGGGAAATCTTAGACACTATAACTTGAGCTAGGGAGGAGTATTTCAAGAAGTAGATTTCTATGCCAAGAAGGGAATTAAATTCAGACAAAACACTTACATGCTCATTGAGGGTACATAAACTAGGAAAATTCCAAATCATTCACATGCATGAATTTACCTTCATTTAAAGAAAAAGACAAAAAAGAGTAGTGTGCTATACTCACCCAACTGCATCAATAGCTATGCACTGTGGTCCCTCATTGAAACCCAATCTGGAAGTTCTTTTCTCACATTTTATTCTATTTATATCCCAGCTACCCCTCTTCCTGCAGCACCAGGCTCAATTCATGTCTCACCTCCAAAAAGTTTTTACTGAGTTTTGTATTCTCTCTTTTCTCCATTACTATAACTTTGACAAATAGGTTTACAAATTGATTTCCTTAATGATACAATGTTTTGCATTGTTCATTAACTTTTTGGGCTCATGGTTCATCTCCCCTACAGAACTTTAAGCTCCATAAATCTTTTATAATGACAATTATTTTTACACTAACAACTAAGATTACCTTAATTTTGACTCCTGCTGCTTATATCATAATACTGAGTGTACTGTTGAGAAACACATACATAGGGAGAGATTTGGCAAATATAAGGTTGAACACTAACTGTGCAAAGTACTTTGCGGATTTAAGATCCCCAAAGCAAGTAAGGGGATGGTTTCTTTTCTGAGACACAAATGGGTTACTGAACACTGAATAATATGTTAAAGGAAAGCTCAAACACTTAGCATTTGTAAATGGTCTAACACAGAGCTTGGAGGGACCAGTATTCTCTTTCTCCTCTTCTTCATTTAAGGAACATCTTGGAAAGCAGAAGTTATTAATAAAATGTACAGAGGAAAATGCGTTATTTTCCATAAGAAAATGGAGTTTATGAACATAAATTTCCAATTCTGAGGCTTGTCAACTCAGACCATAAAAGTGGCTGGCATATAAGCTTACTAATTTGGACTAATTAAATGACTAGCCATTTGAATCTGGCGAGAGCCCCAATTATAAAGGGTATTTAAAAGCCACAACACCTAAAATCTGAATTTTTAAAATATCATCAGAAAACACTCAAGGGAGAGATTTTCCTGGAAATTCGCTGTTGAGACATAACTTAGGTTCTAAGAGATTGAAAAATCACTTGCATTTGGAAGTAACTTTTCTCTTTTGTACTTATTTACATTATTGTTTGTTGAATTTATTTGTTGAATACTTTCTCACATCTGTGTGTATTTTAAACTTGAAGAATCCATTTACATTTAATCTTTTATTGGCCCCATGAGTAAAATAAAGACACAGTTATGACTCTCTTTCAGGGGCAAACAAAGAAAGACTTAAAAATGCTCCCTAACTTGCCCAGGTTGCAGTGTGAATGAGGAATACAGTGGGAACACAAATCCATACACACGTATATCTTTCTAAGACCCCCGATGAGGTTACTACTGACCTGAAAGGCAGCACTACTAAGTCAGCAAGATATTTTTAAAAAGTCTTACTGTATTCTGAATTGTTAGAGAGAAAAACATGTTGATGTACCCAGAAGACCGAAAAAAAGCAATTATGGGGACAAAAACACCCCTCTCCTCTAGACTAATACATAAAGATATTATATTAGGTGCAATGTTTAGTAGATGTTTGAGGCAGAAAGAAGGGGAGCTCTTTTCTGCTAATTTGAGTTAAGCTTGTTTGTAATTCAAGTTATTATTTCTTTTTGTTTACTTGTTTCTATTAAAAAGATATATAGATGATAGATATATAAATATTCTCTCTCTTTATTCTTTCTGAACTGGTAAGATCAGATAACTGGAAACAAATGGATAATCTTTGTAGCTTACACCCTAGAATCTTCTCTCCTGTGCCCTTCATGTACTCCACTTCTGCAGAGCTATGTTTATGGAGGAAATTGGATTCACTGTTTGCCTACAGCAACACATTTAGCTGGTGGCTGTGCAGGTCCAATTAACTCTTTTAACAATATGGGTCAAATGAGGTTATTGGATTATGTTTGTAGCCAATTATAATTGTTTTGGTTGAATACTCTCTCTTGTAACCTTATTTACACTTAAGAAAACAGCATAGAAAAATATTTCATTGTGTGGAAGAAAATAGCCTAGGCAAATATTGGAAGAACAATTTCTCTTTTCTAGATCACGAAACATGACCTCTTATTTATGTTTGGGCATAAAGTAAAGCCTTTTTTGCAGAAATAAAAATAAAAGTGTTAGATATAAAACACTTTGAACACACATTATTCCCATCATTATAATTATCATTATTATCTCTACCTCACCATGAAAAGTAAAGCCTTTAATGGGAGGGACACAATGTGATAGGAAGAAAGGAACCCAAGAGGGAGACGAAGTAGACCAGGGTTCTAGTGTTGGCTTTGCGGCTGGTGAGTCATAGTCTCTCTGAACTTAATGCCCTCCATCTAGAAAGTGGAAATAATAAGCTTGTTACCACAATGATTAAACAAAAAAATGTACATGATGTGTTTTACCAAGTAAAAATAATACAATATTGGTTATAAACTAGTGTTGAATAATAGGAATTTCTTCTGCAGTTATTTTAAACTGTATTGCAAGGAGATTTTGTTCCATATACAGTCATGGGCCACATAACAATGTTTTGGTTGACGATATACCGTGGTGGTCCCATAAGATCATAACGAAGCTGAAGACTTTCTATCAGTAATGTCTTAGCCATTATAACATTGTAGTGCAATGCATTAGTCACACATCTGTGGTTAATACTAGCATAAACAAATCTAGTACGCCTCCAGTCATATAAAATGTCGCACATACAATTATGTGTGGTACATCATACTAAGTAATGACAATAAACAACTATGTTACTGTTATACGTAGTGACTTTTTTCTGTCATTTTAGAATATGCTCCTTCTACTTATTAAAAAAGTATGCTGTGTTATTCTAGCAGCAGGAATATCTAGTAGAGGGAATATGCTCCTCCTACTTATTAAAACAGTGTGCTATGTTATTCTAGCAGCAGGATCATATTTCTCCTATTTACTGTGTCTCTTAATTACATCATTTTCTTTTGTGCTTGATTTAATCTCATTTTGTTTTGTTCATCAGGGCCTCTGAGTATAAAAAGCCTACTGCTAATATTGCCAGTAAGAAGCTACAACAAGTGATTGACCTGAAAACAAAATTAGAAGTGATTAAGAACTACAAAGGTAGAACATCAATGATGATTACTGCTCACCTGTCAGACAGATCTCATTCCACTATAACTATGATCTTAAAGTACAAGAACTAACTAATAGAAGCTCTGAGATAATCTCCTTCACTGAAGGCAATGAGACTAACAAAAATTTGGGAAGGGCCTATATCAGATATGGAGAAACTTCTAATCATGTAGACTGAAGGCCAGACACAGAAGTGTACTCCTCTTAGCACCATGATAATCATGACCAAAGCAAAAAGTTGTTTGCAGTGATGAAAGAGAAGGTTTGACTTGACTGTGTTGTTGAATTTACTACTAGGTCTGGGTGGTTTAAATGATTCAAGAATCATTACTCATTACCTAACAGGAAAGTAACTGGTGAGTTTCTAAGTGCTCATATGAAGGCAGCTGAAAAAATTGGGGAAATTCTAGATAAGCTAATTGTAGAGAAAATTTACCTGCTGGAGCAAATCTGGAGTATGGCTGAAACATCTCTATTCTGGAAGTGAATGCATGAAGGGACTTTCATCCATAAGACCAAGTCAATGCCAAATTTCTAGCTCTCTAAGGACAGGATAACAGTCGTATTTGGAAGGTAGTGTTGTATATTACACATTGAGCCCTTTGTGGTCTGGCACGGTGAGTGTTACAGGGCCTGCAAGCATATCAGTAAGAACATATTGCCAGTGTACAACCGGAGTAATAAGAAGTGATGGATCAGTCAGCTCCATTTCCAAAATTCCCTTCTGAATTGCCATGTCAGCAAAATGGAGAAGTACTGTTTGGAAAATAACATACTTTCAAGATTTTGCTTATTGTTGAGAATGCTCCTGCACATCCTCCTTTATTGGTGATCTTCATCCTCATACCAAAGTGATGCCTGTCCCTCCAAATGCTAATTCTTTGACCCAAACAGTGGGTCAAGGATTCATAGTGATTTCTAAGCCTTATTGCCTGAGTAGGACCTCTGCCCAGGCTATTGCTGCAACTGAGGAAGACACTCATGCAATTCTGGCAGGATTACAACATCTATGATTGCATCAAGAAACTTGCTTGGGCTTGGGGTGATATCACCCAGGGATGTGTGAATGGCATCTGGAAGAAAATATTCAAGAGTTTTGCTCATGACTACAGAGAATTTGCCAAGAGTGAGAGGGTTGTAAAAATTGAAAAGGCTGTGATTGAGATAGCAAGTAACTTTAACCTGGGTGTGGAGAAGGATGATATTGAGGAGCTCCTAAAGGGGGTTCCTAAGGAACTGACTAATGAGAAGTTGGAATTGGAATAGGAATGCATTGCTCAAGAAGAGGCAAGAGGAAAGGGAAGTGCAGGAGAAGAAAAAGCGGAATAACCCTTAAAAAAAATCCACAATGAAGAGTTTAGTAGAAGCTTTTGCAGACCTCAACAAGCTCCTTAAAAAGTTTAAAAACATGGACCACCAACACCAAAAGGTCATGGTGTGTTATCTGCTTACAAGCAAATCTATGATTAAAAAAGAAACAAACTAAGCAAACCAACATGAACGTATTTCAGAAAAGACTGACACCTCCTCAAGAAGAGCCCCAGACAGGTCTTTCAGGAGGGATTCCAGAAGAAAGCATTGTAATCATCGGAGATCACAGGTCCGTGCATGTTATTGTTGCTGAACACCTTACAGTGGGACAAGATGTGGAGGTGGAAGACAGTGATACTGATGATCCTGACCCAGTGTAGGCTGAGGCTAATCAATGTTTATGTCTTTTTTTTTTAACAAAAAATTAAAAAAACTGAAACTAAAAAGCTTAAAAAATAGGAAAAATCCTATGGAAGTAGAATATAAAGAAAAATAATATTCTTGGGCCGTGCGCGGTGACTGACGCCTGTAATCCCAGCGCTTTGGGAGGCCAAGGCAGGCAGATCACGAGGTCAGGAGATCAAGATCATGCTGGCTAACATGGTGAAACCCCGTCTCTACTAAAAAATGAAAAAAAAAAAAAGATTAGCCAGGCATGGGGTGCGTGCCTGGAGTCCCAGCTACCAGCTACTCGGGAGGCTGAGGCAGGAGAATCGCTTGAACCCGGGAAGTGGTGGCTGCAGTGAGCTGAGATGGCACCACTGCACTACAGCCTGGGTGATGGAGCAAGACTCTGTCTCAAAAAAATAAATTAATTAATTAAAAAGAAAAATAATATTCTTGTACATCTGTATATTCTGTTTCTGTTTTATGCTAAATGTTATTACAAAAGAGTCAATAAGTTAAAATATTAAAGTTTATAAAGTAAAAATGTTATAACCAGTTAAAGTTAATTTATTGTTGAAGAAGAAAAAATTTTTAGATAAATTAATGTAGCCTAAGTATACAGTGTTTATAAAGTCTGTGGTAGTGTATAGTAATATCCTAGGCCTTCACATTCATTCAGCCCTCACTCACTCACTCACTCACCCAGAGCAATTTTCACTCCTGCAAGCTCTGTTCATGGTAAGTACCCTATACAGGTATACCATTTTTTATCTCTTATACTATATTTTAACTGTACCTTCTCTATGTTTAGATACATAAATATTACCATTGTGTTACAGTTGCCTGTAGTATTTAGTACAGTAACATGCTGTACAGGTTTGTAGCCTAGAAGCAATAGGCTATACCATATGGCCTAGGGACACAGTAAGCTATATTATCTAGGCTTGTGTAAATACAGTCTATGATGTTTGCACAACAATGAAATAGACTAATGACACATTTCTCAGAACATATTCTTGTTGTTAAGCAACACATGACTATATTAAAACTGTTCCTAGGGAATGTTAAGAAAAATGCTGTTAACTAATCATTTTTTTCTTCTCCTGTTGCAAATATGCTATGAATGCGAATAGGGTTTTCTAAAGACAATGGGAAAGTCCATGACACATAATTGAAAAAGTCACTATGATTAGGTATATCACCAGAAGACCAAGTGGCTCTGTAAGGAACTAAAGTTAAATGCCAACAACCAAGCAAATGAGTGATTCTGAGCCCCAGGACATGTTTTAAAATATAGGTTTCATTATTATACAGTTATGGTTAAGCCAAAAGATCAGAAAATGATGGTCATTGCAAAAATAATCTGTTACTTACAGTTCCCAAAAGGGGTGGGCGTGCCGCAACACACAGAGCCATGTGGGAAACTGCCATGGTCAGTCAGGAGGAAGAGAGAGAGCTGGGAAAATGGACAAGAGCCTTTAATTTGGCTTTTGCAGTGAGGAACAGGTGAGCTATAGTAAACAGGTTTAGGATTGGCTAGTTTGAATACTTTTAGTAAATTATGGGGCATAGGGGTTATCCCTAGTTGCCTGGTACCTGGCGCTGGGATGATTTGGGCAGGTGGATAATGACACTGACTGTAAGAGCCTAAAAGAGAAAATGTTGGGTTCTGTGGGCTCTGGATTGGTTATTTTGCATATGAAAAGTGCACTCCCTTAAAGGCAAGTCTTTTAGTATTTCTAGGAATTGACTGGCTCTGGGAGGGGCAGTCTTTCCAAATTCATCAAGGCCCCAGCTGTCAAAACATTAGAAGCACATGCTTAACCTAGGATGAATCCAAGGAACCTATCATCAGGTATTTGCAGTTGCATCTGTTGTTCAGCTTACACTCAAAAATGGCAATAGCTAACTTTTCTGACAATCTTTGTGAGGTGAGTTTTATTTGTATCTCCAATCTGCAAATAGGTAAAGAGATACATCAGTGAGGTTAAATAATTCACCCAAGTAAAATAGATTGATTTGATTCAGGTTATATGTGGGCGAGACCAAAGCCCATGTTCTTTCTGCGAGCCAAGAATGACTTAAGGTTATTATTCACAGATAGGCCTGTGTGTTTGTAGCACCTACTCCAGACATCATGTCCTTGAGAAAAGCAAAGAATAATCATAGAACAAGCACATATAGCATTGCAGGGGCATGCCCTGTGAACTCAGATGCTGGGAAGTTGTCTTGGGGAGGAGATGCATTATGGTACGTTTCATTTCTGGTAACTCTGAGGGTGACTGAGTGTTCAGGAGGGCAAGTCAACTCTAAAGTGGAGTCAAGGTGAAAAAGTGCCATGTCTGTGGTCAATATCTTAGAAAGTTTACGGATTTCCTTGTCCTGCTGACATGGAAGAGCAGGACAGTAAGATCATTCTATTTCCAACATCAATCCAGAAGCCTGGTGCTTTCTCTCTCATGTGCCACTGGCAGTGTGCCATTTTTGACAGACCAAAAGAGCAGTGAGCTGTCTTTAAGATCCAAGCATCAAGGTCTATTTCTTAGTATCAGACAGTTTAGCGATTAAGACACTGGACTCAGGAATAACACAACCTGGGTTCGTAGCCTAACTTCGACACTTACTAGCATATGATCATGAATGATTTAAAATTTTAAATCCACACCAAAACATGGGGATAATGACTAGACTTACTTTGTGGGACTATTGTGAGGATTAAGTGGGGAGAGGCACACAAAGTGCTTCATATAGTGTCTTACACAAAAATGCACTTGATAACTTTTTAATATTTTTATTAATGATTTTTAAAGTTTAGTACAAAATTTATGTGCAGAGTGGATTTCAATTTCTTTTGGTATTCTGTCAAGACTTGTTGAACACAACTGTAACAAAGCCATGGAACTATGAGAAAGCAATCTCTCTCTCTCTCTTCCTCCTTCCCTCCATCCCTCACTCTTAAACACCCACACACAGATATACACACACACACTTATAAATGAGCATCTACTATACATTTGCTTGGAGATCTTTCAGTATTTACATCCAAGTCAGTGTTACACTCACGTTGTGTTGCATCATATTTCAGGCCTACTGTATATTATGAGTATTTAGCCATTTCCTGATTAATGAATATTCAATGACTAGATGTTGTCCAATGATTGGATGGTTGTACGAAATATGGTGAGAAGCAGAAGATGAATCTGACAAGGTAGGAAAAAGCCAGATGACGCAGGACTTTCATGATATGTTAAGAAACTGTGATTTCATATTAAATACAATGTGATGACATCTATGAGTTTTAAGCAGCATGTCCATTACCACCAGTATTTTGTTACACCGTTGCTGCATTGAATAACTATACATACATCTTTAAATGAGTATGCAAGTATTTCTTTAAGTTAGATCGCTAGAAATAGAATGACCAGCTTCACACATTTTACATTTTCAGAGATATTAACAAAATACTCTGCAGAAAGGTAACTAATTGCTCATCTGAGCCAGTGTCTGGAAACCCACACCCCACCTGGCAAACCTTTGATATTATAATGTTTAAAAAATAATTTGCTAATTGTTGGAAGAGAAATTGTACAATGGTTTTGGATCTTGTAGCGGAATTATATTCTGGAGTTGATACATAAGGAAAAATATAATCAAAATAGTCCTAGGATGTTCCATGAATCATGCTTGAAGTATCATAAATAAAATGTAATTTGGGGGGTATACAACCCTCTATTGTAATTCTTATGTACCCTAAGCACAAGAAACACTGAGCCAGAAAAAATAAAGAAAATAAAGTTTATATTGCAGGTGTCTAGGAATTGAAATCCTTCTGCTTTTAAGACAACTACCAAATTCTAGGGTGAGTGGGGTCAGGGCACGTAATTCTGAAGTAAATTATTTCTACTTGTCTTCAGGGTTTATTCTATTTTGTATTTATTAAGTCTGTAATCTTACCCAATGTTAAGCATTTTTATCTTTGTAAAAATTATTAAGATAATATTTAAAATACCTATCAGAGATCTAGATTAAGAAGTGCTGTATAACTGTTTCTGACTTTGAATCTAAATTGTGCCAAATCTGATACATATTCTTACTGCTCTTTGAAAAGTCAGAAATTTGCTTTTTAAAAACTGACCTCTCCTCATGTGTTACCAAGTAAGAGTTCTTTCCCTCATGTTTGTAGCTATTACTTTTAGTAATACTGGAGGGAAGATGAACATGAGAAGGAAAGATTGATGTTAAGTTCCACTGTCAGCATTACATTAAATAAACATATAATGACACAATACTAGATCTCATTGTTTACTAACTTCTGCTGATTTCCACTGAGTTTGATAATATTTCATCTGTTTATAACTTATTATGATTTCTTTTCCAAGAATTGGTGGCTCACGTTCTCTGCTTCTATTCCTGTTCAGCTCATATTGGTTTGTTTTGTATTTCAAATCTTTCTCCACTTTATGCTTATATTTTTTATTTGTTTATGATGCTTTTTGATATACGAAGCATTTTATTCTTTATATACTCAAATATGCCAGTCTTTTCCTTTGTGGCTTTTTGGTTTTGCAAAATCTTAGGACATAACGCCTTTATAGCATTCATGATCTTTATCCATTTTATTATTTTAAAAAATTTGTAGGGAAACGGGAGTTTAGTGAAGTTAAATGGCTTATCTAGAAAGACACCAATTCTAAGTCATGGAGCAGGACTGAAACCCAGGCTTCCTGAGTCCACATTCTCTGATGCCTCTTTTCACCCTTGGTTGTTTCTTTCTTTGGGTTGGACAGAAGGTAGTGGCTCAATATACTTCCATGTCATCTATTCTTAAAATAGCGTCTTGGTATGTATAATTTTATTAGGCCTCTTTTTGTTCCAAAAAAGATATCTGATTCAAGATAGTCTAATAGAAAATAGAAAACAAGAATTCATTAGCTCCTTATTTTGATAGTCCAAGAGTGAATCTGTTCTCATGTATAGTTTTATATATGGGCTTGATACAAGTAGGACTATCCATTTTATCTGTTGTTTTATCTATCATCTATCTATCTATCTATCTATCTATCTATCTATCTATCTATCTATCTATCTATCTATCTGTCTAATCTCTGTCCTTGTCCTAATTATTTCTGCTCCTCTCTGCATGTCAGCTTTATTCTCTTCTGATTTCGATAAACTTTTCTACACAGTGGGAAAGATAACTGCTAGAAATTCCAAATCCAGTATCTTACAGCTTATGCTCTAAAAGGCAAAAAGGTGGCCGGGCGCGGTGGCTCACGCCTGTAATCCCACCACTTTGGGAGGCTGAGGCGGGTGGATCATGAGGTCAGGAGATCGAGACCATCCTGGCTAAAACAGTGAAACCCCGTCTCTACTAAAAATATAAAAAATTAGCTAGGCTTGGTGGCGGGCACCTGTAGTCCCAGCTGCTTGGGAGGCTGAGGCAGGAGAATGGCGTGAACCCGGGAGGCGGAGCTTGCAGTGAGCTGAGATCGCGCCACTGCACTCCAGCCTGGGTGACAGAGAAAGACTCTGTCTCAAAAAAAAAAAAAAAAAAAAAAAAAAAAAGGCAAAAAGTTTCCATCAGAAAACCACGAAGACAATAACCCTGATTATGTTCTTCTAAGTGATGTACAAGTTTCTGAACCAATCACTCTGTCCATGATGGGCCAGGCTTCTTGATTGACAGACCCACCAAGATGTGTGTGGCATTTCCCTACAGGAACACGTGCAGGAGGAAGAAGAAAGCAAGCAGGGCATTAAAAGCGGTGGTTGTCAATACCCATGACAGTGATTTTCCCAATATTTACTGTACCTGAGCAGTGGCAAAATCACCTACACCCTAGCTGCTCTGTCTAGATGAAAGGTGACTCATCTTCTATCTCCACATGGAATCTGAACTGTAGTAAAAGTATAGTTATATTACAAAGTCTCTTTATTGACAAGTCCTAGTATCCCTGGAATAAATCCCATTTGGCCATGGGGTGTATGTTCCTTTTAATGTATTGCTGGATTTGGTTTACTAGTATTTTGCTGAGAATTTTTGCAACTACGTATTTCAGGGTTACTGACCTGTAGTTCTATTTTCTTGAGGTATCTTTGCACGGCTTTGGTATTAGGATGTTGCTGGCCTCATAAAATTAGTTTGGAATTGTTTCCTCAATTCTTTCAAAGTGTTTGAGAACTGGCATTAATCTTTATTTTGTCAAGAAAATTTAAAAAATTGTTATATGAGTTATACAAATTGTGGGGGGTACACATATGATATTGTGATATTTGTATACAGTGTGTATTGATCACATGAGGGTAATTGGGACATTCATCACCTCTAATATTTATCTTTTCTTTTTGTTGAGGACATTATAAATCCCATCTTCTAGTTATTTTAAAATATACAATAAATTATTAACTCAAATTTTTCTATCCTACTACTGAATACCAGAACTTATTCTTTCTATTTAATTGTATTTTTATCCAAGTTCTCTTTATCCCCCTCTTCTCTTCCCAGCCTTTGGTAACTACTATTCTACTCTCTTCCTCCATGAGATCCATGTTTTTCACTCTCACATATGAGTAAGAACATGTGAAATTTGTCTTTTTGTGCCTGGCTTATTTCACTTAATACAATGACCTCAGGTTCCATGTGTGTTGCTGCAAATGACAAGATTTCATTCCTTTCAATGGCTGAATAATATCCCATTGTGTACATATACCATATTATCTTTATCCATCCATCTGTTGAGGGACCCTTAAGTTGATTCCATATCTTGACTATAGTGAATAGTGCTGCAATAAACATGGAGTGTAGACATCTCTTCAACATACTGATTTCCTTTCTTTTGGACATATACCCAGCAGTGGAATTGCTGGATCACATAGGAGTTTCATTTTTAGTTTCTTGAGAAACCTCCATACTATTTTCCATAATGGCTACACTACTTTACATTCCTGCCAGCAGCATATGAACCTTTCCCTCTCTGTGCATTCTTGCCAGCATTTTTTGTCTTCTGCCTTTTTGATAATAGCCATCCTAACTGGAGTGAGATGAAATCTTATTGTGGATTTAATTTATATTTCCCTGTTGATTAGTAACTTTTTTTTTTTCACGTCTTTTGGCCATTAGTATGTCTTCTTTTGAGAAATGTCTATTCAGGTCATTTCCCCATTGTTAAATTGCACTTTTTTTTTTTTTTTTTTTTTTTTTTTGCTATAGAGCTCCTTTTATATTTTGATTATTAATCCCTTGTTGGATGCATACCTTGCAAGTATTTTATCCCATTTTGTAAGTTGTCTCTTGACTTTTTTCATTGTTTCCTTTGCTGTACAGAAGCTTTTTAGCTTGATGTAATTTCATTTGTCTATTACTGCTTTTGATGCCTGTGCTGTTGAGCACAAAAAATCTTTGCCAAGGCCAACATCCCGTAGTATTTTCTCAATATTTTCTTCTGTAGTTTCATAATTTCAGTCTTGCTTTTAAGTGTTTCATCCATTTTAAGCTGGTTTTTGTATATGGTGAAAGACGAGGTTTTAGTTTCATTCTTTTATATATAGATATCCAGTTTTCCCAGGACCATTTATTAAAGAGGTTGTCTTTTCCCCAGTGTATGTTCTTTGCCCCTTTCTCAAACATTAATCCGCTGCTAATATGTAAGTTTATTTATGGGTTTTCTATTCTGTTCTGTTGGTCTTTGTGTCTGTTTTTATGACAATAGCATGCTGTTTTGGTTAGTATAGCTTCAGAGTATAATTTGAAATCAGTGCAATACTTTGGCTTTGTTGTTTTTTGCTTAGGATTGCTTTCACTATTCAGGGTCTTTTGTAGTTCTACACACATTTTAGAATTTATTTTAAATTCCGCAAAGAATGTCATTGGTATTTTGATAGGGATTGCATTGAATTTGTATATTACTTTGATTAGTGTAGAGATTTTAATATTACTTTTTAAAATTCATGAGCATATCTTTTCACATGTTCTCTTTAATTTTTTTCATTCATACTTTGTAGTATTCTTTGCAGAGATCTTTCATTGTCTTCAATTTCTTTCATTCATATTTATAGTTTTCTCTACAGAGATTTTTATTCTGGTTAAATTTGTTTCTAATTGTTTTTGAACGTATTGTAAATGGAGTTGCTTTCTTAATTACATCTTCAGATTGATGTTAGCATACAGAAATACTACTGACTTTTGTATACTGGTTTTATATCCTACAACTTTGCTAAATCCTATAAATTTACTGAATTTGTTTGCCTAATTGACATTTATAGAACCCTACACATAATGGCAAAATACACATTATATGGAATTCCCCATATATATTCACCCAAATAAGCCACATACTTTAAATAAATTTAAAGATTGAAATCATTCAGAATATGTTATCTGATCATAATGGATATATAGAAAATATATTAACAATGAAAACATGTGGGGGAGCATATTTGAAAATTAGATAACACATTTTTAAAGACTGTAGGATGAAGAAGATATCACAAAAAACCACAGGAAAATATTTTAATTGGGTACTAATGAAAAATTCAACAAAATCTCTGTGAGTTGGCTAACAGGTAAATTTATAACTAAAAATGTTCATGTTGGAAAAGAAAGAAGACCTAAAATTAATGACATAAGGTTTCATCTTAAGTCATAAAATAATGAGCAAAATAGATGTAAAATTTCTCAAAAAGTTGAGCAGAAATTAATAAAATCAGAAATACAGAAAATTATCAAAAACAAAACCTCATTACTTGGAAAGATAAACAAAAGGAATAAACCTGTAGGTAGACTAATTACTGAAAAGAGAGAGAACAAAAATACTATCATCAAGACTAAAAGAAAGGTTAACAATGCATACCTTAGAGACATTAAAAAATAAAAAAATTTATTAAAACATTTATGCCAAATATTTTGAAGACAATGATTCAGGCAAATTCTTTGAATAATGTTACTTACTAAGATCAACATGAGATGTAATAAAAACTGAAAAAAATACTAATTTTTATGGTATTTTCACTGGCAAATTATATTACCATTCAAGAAATAAATGACACCTATGACACATAATTCAATAATAAAAAGACACATGAACTGATTATAAAATGAACATAGAAAATTGAATAGAAATTTTTCTGGAGAAGATACAATTGGCTGACAAGCACATGAAAGATGCTTAATATCATTACTAATCATTACTAATCAGGGAAATGCAAATCAAAACCAAATTTGGATATTACATCATACTCACTGACACAATTATACCAAAAATACAGATAATAGCAAGAATAATAAGCAAGATAAAAAAATAACATGTGTATGTAGAGAAATTGAAACCCTTATACGTAGCTGGTGGGAATGTAAAATGGGGCAGACACTTTGGAACATAGTCTGGCAGTTCCCTAGGAAGTTCAACATATGGGCCAACAATTCCACTCCTTTGGTAAATACCCAAGAGAACAAAAACATATGCCCAAACAAACTTGTACACACATGATCATAGCAGTGCTATTTATAATAGCCATAAAAAGGAAATAATGTTTATCGACTGATGAATGGATAAACGAAATGAGATATGTACATACAATGCAATAATGTTCAGGAATGAAAATAAATAAAATACACATGCTAAAACATGAATGGTCCTTGAAAAGACGATGTTAGGTGAAAGAAACTAGGCATAAAAGACCCCAAATTACATTATTATATTTATACAAGAATTTCAGAATAGGCAAATCTACAGAAGCAGAGATATTAATGGTTGCTTAGGGCTGGGGAGATGGATGACCGGAAGAAACCGTAAAAGGCTGATGATGGGTATGGGGTCTCTTTTGGGTATTATGAAATAAAATGTTGTAAAATTGATTGTAATGATGGTTGTCAAACTTAATGAATATATTTTTAAAACCTTGAATAAATGTCTTCTTTTGAACTTACAGTATAATTTAAAAATATATATATATATATATAAACTTTGAATAACACATTTCAGATGGGCTAGATGATTAATTTATTATGTCAGTTTGGTTAGGCCATTGTATTGAGATATTTAGTTAAACATGTCCGGATGTTGTTGTGAAGGTATTTTTAGATAAGATTAACAGTTAAGTCAGTAGACTTTGAATAAAGAGAATTACCTTTAATCCTTAATGTGAGTGGACCTTAACCAATCAGTTGAAGGTCTTAAAGAAAAGCTGATCTCTCCAGAGGAAGAAGAAATTCTGCCAGCAGACTGACTTTGGACTAAAACAACAATATTAGCTCTTCCGTGGACCTTTGCACTGCCAGCCCACCTTGCAGATTTTTGACTTGCCAGGCTCTACAATTGTGTGAGTCAATTCCTTAAAATTACACACACACACACACGACGCTATAGCTTCTATTTTTCTGGAGGAACCTTACTAATACAATGAGAAAATTGTATAGTATTTGAATTACATCTTAATAAAATAATTTTTAAAAGCCCTTAATAAAATAAAAAGCAAGCCATAGAATAAATTATTTGCAATACA
Organism: Homo sapiens; assembly: GCF_000001405.40. Lineage (NCBI taxonomy): Eukaryota > Metazoa > Chordata > Mammalia > Primates > Hominidae > Homo > Homo sapiens. The sequence goes on from NC_000010.11 coordinate 107,628,123, forward strand.
TACATCTCAACAAATATGTATATTAATATTTATATAAAAATCCTCCTTCAACCCAATGATAAGAAAAACAAGCTAATTTAACAATGGACACATATTTGAACAGGTACTTTACAAAAACTAATGTAGAATGAGCAATAAGCACTTAAAAATGCTCAACCTCATAAGTTATCAGATTAATAGAAGTAAAACCAAAATGAAATATCACCATACAAATATTAGAATGGCAAAAATTAGTCATTAATATGACATTTTTGCAAGGATGTAGAGCAACTGGAACTCTTATAAACTAATAAAAGTAAAATGATATGAGTGATTTGCAAAAGTCTTAGTTATCATCTTCAAAAACTAAAAATGCACCTATCATAGTGTAATCCAGGCGGGCGGATCACGAGGTCAGGAGATCGAGACCATCCTGGCTAACTCAGTGAAACTCCATCTCTATTAAAAAATACAAAAGATTAGCCGGGCGTGGTAGTGGGCGCCTGCAGTCCCAGCTACTCTGGAGGCTGAGGCAGGAGAATGGCCTGAACCCGGGAGGCGGAGCTTGCAGTGAGCTAAGATCGCGCCACTGCACTTGCAGCAGAGCGAGACTCCGTCTAAAAAAAAAAAAGAATGCACCTATTATGTAACAGCCATTGCAATTCTGTTTTTACCCAAGCAGTATTTGTATAGGAATGTTCATACCACCTATATTCTCAATAACCAAACCCACAAATAATCCAAGTGCTCATTAACAAGTGAATGAATAAACAATATGTGGAACAACCATACAATGGAATAACATCCAATAATAAATATTAATGGACTATCTGTAAAGTCAATAAGAAGAATTAATCTCAAAATTGTTATGTTGAGTGAAAGAAGCCAAGCACAAAGTAATACCTACGGTATTTGCTTACATTCTGGAAAAAGAAAATATATTTATGGTGATGCAAAGGAGATCAATGGTTGCCTGAGGTTAGAGGTAAAGGGGTGTGAAGAGACATTTTTGGGGTAATGAATATGTTGCGTGATGTGTACAACTATGATGATGTTTTCACAGTTGTATACACCTCTCAAAAGTCAACATATTGTATATTTTAGATGAATGAATTTTATTATATCCTTTTTTTATCTCAAGAAAGCTAATTTTAAAATGAGGAAACTAGTCTGCTTTTTTGAAATATTTTTATTTGTGAATTCCATTGAGAATCTAATAAAAGCTGCATACTTGACCAAAGTAAAAGTGCATACCTTTAAATTACTGCCCACAATATCAGGGAGTAGAAGACCTGGTGAAACTCATCTTAATTTGGAATGAGAATTCTACATGGGGTAATGAAAATCCATGCTTAGGGAAATTGGTGTCGAGACTATACATTTTGGCAGTTACTGTGGATATAATCATCTTACATTCCTTCTGTTGTCTTATATGTGTTAATTGAGCCTCTTCAACTATAGTATTGGCTAAATATATTTACAGCATACACACAAAGAAAAACCTTCAAGGAACTATACCATGCTTATACTAAATAACTTTCAAGGAAAACCCAACTTAAGGTAATTTCAATTACTGTATTTCCACAAAGTGTTTCGTTAAATATTTAAATAGATTGTAATTTTAATAAATTTTTATTTATATATGTTTATCAATCTGGGAGGAAATTCACACAAAATAGCATAGATTTTGTTGTAGAAAATATGATCTATATATTTAAGGCTTAGGAGACATGGATAAGAAGAGCACAGTGAATTGAATGTCTCATCCAGTATACCTAAGATTAGTTTTGTGCTAAATTGATAAAATGCAAACTAGAAAAATAAAGAGAATTCTCTCTAGTTTATAGCAAGTTATTTTGCATGTAACATATTATTTCAAATTTATTAAATCACAAAATATATTTAGTGTGATATACCAGAGTTTTCATATACTGTATACTGAAAATAGACAGGCAAAATCCCAAATCAAAGTAAAACGTTATTTAAAATGATACTGTACACTCAAGAGCTGTTAGGTAGTTTTACATTCTTCACGTATTGTCTTATTATATTCTACAGTAAAGATATGCATTAGGGCAGAAAGACTTAGACCAAGAATAGTAGGATATTCTGTGGACAAATAAATAAATGTATATAACCATGTCAGAAAGCTACTGGACATACTCATAAACATGTTTTTCCAGAAACATTCTTACAGAAAAGTCAAAGGATTCTGAGACATCAGGCCAATGCTGTGACAGAGAATTTGACTAAGTAACTAACAGACAGAGTCAAGATCCTGGCACAGTTTCTGGGATAACTGAGTATAGGTAATGAATATTTAGAGAAGACTGACTTGCTGATATATATTTTTAATGGGTCAAATGTGGCCTTTTTATTTTGACATATTTTTAAACTTAAAATCTTAAAAAGAAGTATAAAAAATAAAATATATTATACACTTTAGCCATATTTACCAAGTGTTAACATTTTGATGTGTTTGTTTTATCATTCTCTGTCTCTCTGGCTCTGTCTTTTTATCTACACATTTATAATACACACACATGCACACATACTTTCTTTTCTGAAATACAGTACAGGAAGTTGGACACATACTTTTCCACCCTTAAATGTGTCAGTGTATATATGTTAAAAACAAAATCATATCATATAACTAAAGTACAATTAGCTAAATCACAAAAATATAATAGCATTTAATAATCATCTGTAATCCACAGTTCATATTCAAATGTCTCCAAGTTTTACAATAATATTTTTAATAACTTTGTCTATATGTTTGTTTCCAGGTTCAACATATAAGTCAGTATCACACATAGCAATTAGTTGATATGGCTCTTTAGTCTTCTATATTTTGGAAATATTTCACATTACACTCGGCTTTCACACACTTGACATTTTTTGAAGTGAATAGTCCACTTATTCTGTAGAATGTCTATCCATTTGCATTTGTCTGATAATTCAGTCATAAGTACATTCATATTATGTACTTTGGCCTATAAAATCATGTTGGTAGTGATTATCCTTCTCTATTAGGTAGCATCTTATACTGATGTGTCCCAGTATTTGTTGGTGATGTTAACTTTGATAAATTGGTTCTCATAGTTTCCCCATTTTTCCATTTCAAAGTTCTTATGTTCTGTATTTTGTTTAATAAATAATTTGTGGGGAGATGTTTTGATTTTATATAAATGTCCTCTTCCCAAAGAAATTTTCACTCACAACTCTTAGAAAGTATATTTTCAGGCATATTTACATCTATTTAAATAATGTCATAAGGCTTTATTTATCATTTCACTTCTCAGAGAAATTAACCTTGGCCCAAAAAATTTAAAAAGTAAATATACTCAACACATAAAAATAATAACAACAAAAAGCCCATTAAATATGTCCTAAAATCAGTTACAAAATACAGTTAAGCTGGATGATATTTCATAACCCTTTAAATTCTAAGATTCTATAACATTTTCAAAGCATAGGGAATGCCCAATATCCCAAATAGTTCTCCTTACACTACACAGTGAAATCCCTCCAGGATAATCCATTATGATAGTTATAATTGAGTATATTTATAATTCATCAACTCACCACATCTATAATATAATAATTCAGTTAGTGTTCTATCACAATTTTAATAATCCCCTTTATCCTCCTTCTATATTTTAGGAAACTAAGAATTCAGGCCATGTTTACTTTTTATATCTGTACTTGTCCTGCTACATGGGCCCTACTGGGCTCTCAATAAATACATTCTTAAGGAATGAATAGACAAACAAACTGAAAACTTCATATGGTTGCCTGCCTTCATGTCTCCAGACAAAGGAAGACATCAGAAGGTAAAACTCATTAACCAAGCCAAGCGCAGTAGTTCTCTACTGTAATCCTGTCACTTTGAGATCCCCAGGCAGGCAGATCGCTGAAGCCCAGGAGTTTGAGACAAGCCTGGGCAACATAGTAAAATCCTGTCTCTACAAAACAAACAAGCAAACAGCTGGGCATGGTGATGTGTGCCTGTAGTCCCAGCTGCTCAGCAGGCTGAAGCGAGAGAATCACTTGAGCCCGAGAGCTTGAGGCTGCAGTGAACTGTCACTGTGCTACTCCACTCCACCCAGGGCAACAGAGTGAGACCCTGTTTCAAAAAACTTAAAATTAAAAAATTAAAAAAACCTATTAACCAATTCTAAATGTATCACAAAAAATGGAATAAAACTAGGAGGAAAACAAAGAAGCATTCTGAAGCCTGATTACTTCCTAATCACCAATAATTCATTGGTCTTTCCATATTTTGAGTATGGCATTAATCTTACTTATGCTTTTCATTAAACAGTTTACCCTATCTTTGGTACTAGATATTTTGGGAGGAATATTTGATTCTTTCAAAAATTAGGGTCATTCCCTAAGCGGTTATTGGAGTGCCGCTAATTTCCTCAAACCAAGATCATACCCTCTCGTCCAAGAGCACTTTTCATATCTAACTCACATTTTGTGTTTTTATGAATAAATGTTTATATATGGGCCACAGAAATACATGACTTTCTGAAACATGGTTATTTTTCTAAAAAAAAATAAAGAAACGGAAACATATTTCTTTTTTTTTTTTTTTTTTTTTTTTTTGAGATGGAGTCTCGCTCTGTCACCCAGGCTGGAGTGCAGTGGCACGATCTTGGTCACTGCAAGCTCCGCCTCCCGGGTTCACGCTGTTCTCCTGCCTCAACCTCCCGAGTAGCTGGGACTACAGGTGTCCGCCACCACACCCGGCTAATTTTTTGTATTTTTAGTAGAGACCGGGTTTCACTGTGATCTCGATCTCCTGACCTCGTGATCCACCCGCCTCGGCCTCCCAAAGTGCTGGGATTACAGGCGTGAGCCACCGCGCCCAGCCCAGAAACAAATTTCTAACCAAAATCCTGTCTTGAAATCTTGCACATTTTTTTTTTTATTTCAGTGATTTTCTTAGGATTCAGTAGTTTTGATGTACACAAACTGTGTTTCTTTTGTTTGTACCAGGATAGAGTTAAGAATAACATAACAGGCATAATAACCAACAGGATTTTTTCTGCCTCTTGTGTGCACCCAAAGATATAGACAAAGTTTTATTCATTTATATCTCTCGGTATCCTTCGAAGTTTTACTCATTTATATAGTGTAGTCCCCATCAGGGGCCTCACATGCCCTTTAACAAATATGCCGCAACAGCTCTTCCACCTGAATTTCTGATGCCCAAGAAGTTGCCTAAGTGCCTGACAACCCCCTCTCTCCCCAAGGACAATTTTGTGTGCTAGGCTCATAGCTTCCAAGACCCTCTAATGATCTCTTCCTAGCAACTCATGTCATAGACAGTGTGGCTTGTCCTGTCAGGCTCTGCTGCCAATATGTGATCTACTGCAATCTTGGAGCCCCTGAAATCCTGGAAGTCTTAAAGCAGGTTGGGTCCTGGCTGCGGGGATTTTATTTGTGTTAACTTTGCCACCTGATTGCCAAGTAGGATTTTACTTTATTCTCCAATGTTTTACAAACCATTTAATGTAAGCAAATATTTTTATTTTTGCTTAAAGCACATCATTCTTTAGGACCCAGATAGGAGTCCATGAAGGCTGGACTGGGGGAAACTACCTAGCAAAAACGATGCTCTCCTCAGAATTAACCCTCTTTCCTGAGAATGAGACTTAGTTTGTAAGTCCAACTCCCTCGCCATAAATATAAATTCTCTCTCGTGATGCAACTTGGACCCATATACACGTATATAATTGGTGAACTGTCCCATTGCCAGCCATGACTTGTCAGGCATACATGTAGAATGGACCTTAAACTCAAGCTAGAGGTATACCTGCTTATAATTTAGTAATTTTTCAGGCAGGAAGGACTAGAGCTATTGATTTAATTCCTTTTTTTTTTTTTTTTTTTTTTTTGAGATGGAGTCTCGCTCTGTCGCCCAGGCTGGAGTGCAGTGGCACGATCTCGGCTCACTGCAAGCTCCATCTCCCAGGTTCACGCCATTCTCCGGCCTCAGCCTCCCGAGTAGCTGGGACTACAGGCGCCTGCCACCACACCCGGCTAATTTTTTGTATTTTTGGTAGAGACGGGGTTTCACCGTGTTAGGATGGTCTTGATCTCCTGACCTCGTGATCCACCCGCCTTGGCCTCCCAAAGTGCGGGGATTACAAGCGTGAGCACCGTGCCTGGCCGATTTAATTCTTCCATTCTGGGTGGAAACATTCTAGAAAGGAAGTATCACTCAGTTTCTTCTGTGTAAGAACATAGTGTTTACCCACTGAAGGATATAGAGAATAAGGAAATAACAGATCTGTAAGTTTCTGTGCCAATCAACTCTGAGTCGAGGTGGACGGAGAGGGTAGTCCAAGTGAAACAATATTGAGAAATCTGTTCTAGGATGTGACAAAGTAACATCAAGGGGTGTAAGGATCTCCTTCACTCTTCAACTTTTAACATTTAGCAGGTCATTCTAAGGCAGAAGACATAATTGTGAGTCACAGACACTAACCCATGGTACAAGAATTGTCCAGGTGTGTTCTCTAAAATATTAATTGCATCCAGCACCCCATGTTGTATAATTCTCTGATTAGATCCACTCTGGCTTATCTCTTGATTCTACAGCCATGAAACCTAACAGTTTTGGGTAAAAAGCACCTCTTGTATCCTTAACCTCTGCAACCCTCACCTCCCTTGCCATACCCCCATCAACTGAGGGAAGTGCCCCATGGGCACTGCTAAATATAATAAATGCTGATGATGCCATCATGAGACTGTATTTATGACCAAGGTGTCGTGGTTCTGTGACTAGTAAGCTCCCATTGAGGTTCGTCCAGTGGCCTTATCATCTGGCTCTGCTGACATCTCTAGCCACATCTCTCCCATTCGGCTCCTTGAACTCTGTGCTCCTGCCATGCTCAACTACTTAATGCTTCCCACTGTGCCATGATCTCTTCTGTCTCTGTGACCTCTTCCACCTCTGTCTCTGCATAGGACACTTTCCCCTCTTTACCCTTTTGTCACCTCTCAATCTTCATCGTTCTTCTTTCCGATCTGAGCTCTGAGGTCTTTCCTTCCCAGAAAGCTTTTCCAGTTTCTTTAGATGAGATTACATCCCCATCCTCACCCCTGTTTTCCCTCTCATATCACTTTTGTAATTGTGTGTTTCTCTTCCCGTCTAGCCTGTGAGCTCCTTGAGGAGACAGGAGCGATGTCTCACATCTATCTCCCAAGCTTAGGCAACTGCCCAAGATACAGAGGCACAATAAATACGTGTTGAATAAACAGGTTATGCCTTTACCACTTTATTATTTCTGTAATTTCTGATTGAGTGGGGCACTTCACACTCTCCACCTTTGTGATGCTGTTCATTTTAACAGGTGTTAACAGAAAATAAATTGCTATTGATGCAATTGTTACTTAGAATGTAAGACTGGCCTTTAAGCCCAGCTCTGTGCCAACAAAATGCAAGGACAGCCAACTGTTGGGAAGAATTTCCAGGAAGAAAACCAATTAGTTTCACATGCTTTGCTTAATATTTTATTTGCATTTCATGCCTCAAGTTTTAAGTGAATCTGTATTGGCAACCCACAATAATTGCTAGCTCACCTATTGTTTGTTCAGCTAATGGTTTGGTTAAAAGTACAAACAAAACTGAAGTCAGAGAGATGATGAAAGGCGTGCAAGAACGGGAGAAAGGAAGAAAGGAAAGAAAGGAGGATGGCTGAGACGGGGGGAAGGAGGGAGCAAGGAAGGAGAAAGGGAAAATAATTCCAAACAGGTTTCAAGATTGAGCTGACCCTGCCATCTAAATATAGCATGGCAACATGGACATATTGAAGATAAATGATTTACTGACTGGCTTAGAGGAAATCAGATAAATTATCTTCTACTGACTCCTGACTAGCCAACCTCAGAAACAACTCTCTTTTGAGAAAGGTTTTGTGATAAGAGATACATTAGCTATTTTTTGTTTCACCTGGTTACAGAGTTCTCAAGCTGCCTTAAATATCATAGAAGAATTTCACGTTGAAGTTGCTGATTTTATTCAGCCTCTTTGAACATGTCAACATGGATATTGTCCTTGAACACACAGCTCCACATGCCCATGGGCTGAAGAAGATGCTGAGAAATGGATTCTATATGTAAGTATAATATAGATCTGGTGCTTTGAATACAGCATCTCTTAGCTGCCTCACATCATGGGACCAGTGGGGAGAAATGTGTGGCAGAGTAGAAAATAATTTTCTTAGTTTCATGATTTATTGGACAACTCTATATAGGCTTCTGTGCAGAATATGAGGTAGAAAGACCATTAAGTCCAAGAAAACAGGGACTAAAGGTCTAGTGGTATGCTTAGGATTGAACACAGACTGGGCACATTATTGATATTTAATAGTTATAAGCTGAATTAATTAACTTCCTATGATTGTCTTGACTCTGTAAGGGAGAGGTATTGTCTCCTGAAAAAGTGTCACCTGTAGATACATTTTACTCTCTCACCTACCTCTTCTTCAGCCTGTTGAATAGCAACTTTATCCAAGGTAATTTTTGATAACCCTGTATTGCCAATGTGGCCATTTCATTGTCAGTGATGGACCTGCAAATCTCTCAATAAATCACTTTACTTTGGGGATGACAATCTTATTGTACAAAAATCCTTTAAAAGCCTTGGTGGGCTAATCGATGCTGAGCGAACCAAGACAGGAATCCAGAGTAGGCTGTGGGCATTGAGGAAAGTGACGGCCTCATCACAAGACAGTTATTGCAGGAAGAGGAAAGAAAATCAGAGCAGAAGCCAGAGCTGCAATTTCGTTTGTGCAAAATGAGTTTTTATTGCTGTGAAAATAAAAGGTGATTCTAATGCTTGCCTTTTTTCAAAGTAGTAACTTAAGCTGTACAAAGAAAAGGGGACTTAGTCATAAATTAAGGTTACAGAACTTTAAAGCACATTAGGAAGGCATGAGGGGAAATGAGAATGGAGAGTCACTCTATGTGAATCCCAAGTTGCATAGACACTGGTCCAAGCCAACCCCTAGGACCTATTCAGTCCTGGCCTCTCAAGGGGTAACCTGGTTTGGGAACTATGGATTGCTTCCTTAAAAATATGCCATTTAAATTAATATTTTTAGAAACAATAGAAGATAGCCTTGAAAAGGGAGACAGGAAAAGAGATGAGAAGGGAAATAGAAGATTAGGAACCCAAGCTGAGAGGCTGAGGCAGAAGAATGCTGTTTGAACTGAATTGAGCAAAAGCGAACAGTAAGAGAATAATTGTGGAAACTCCATGTTCTGATAGAGTGGACACGGGCAAAGCTGACCGCTAACTTTCTCCGTGTGAGGAAAACTTCTTTCAAAGGATGAGTATTTGACATTAAATTTACCTCTTATCTCATTCAGAAATATCTTTGGCTTCTAATGTGTTCAATCTTCTAATTTGGTGATGGATTCATTTCTTTAGATCTCCTTCATGCTGGCCAGAACTTTTGCTCACTGCCTTTGTACCAGGCATGAGCACTTACTCACATATGTCCTTCTATCACTTTCTGTTTCTCTCATGTCCAATTCCTCCACAACTTCCCATTAATGCCTGCTTTTTCTATGGTTCCATGTTATGATTTCCCATTGCTTTATTATTTAATATTTAAAGTGAGCATATAATTTATCATCCAAACTAGAAAACTTGAGAATAAGGAACAGGCATAAGCCATGCCTGTCACTGGGCAAACCTAAATATGTGATCAGTCTTTCCATAAAGTATATTTCCTGTGGGCATATATGTGGCAACTTATTACTACAATCTTTTGATTTTTCTTTAACCTTTTCAAATAAATTTGACTTGTGCCTTAATCTAAAATGTCATCTCCCATAGAACAGAGACTCTGTATTATTTCTTCTTTTGTTCCAATCATTGCATGACACTTTGCTAGCAGGTGCATAGCAGGTACACAGTGAACACACAGTGTGTGAATTTAAAACAAAATAAATGATTCATGGCTGATGATCACACAGCAGTTGTCCTCAGTTTTAACTGCTCATAATGATTACCTGGGAAATTAAAAATAATCAAACTTAATGATGTCTTGGTCCCATCTCCAAATATTCTGATTTAATTGGCCATGTGTCTAGCTTGGACACCAGGGCTTTTAACCATTACCAGGTGATTCTGAAGTCCAGCCAATATTACAGACAAGCCCGAGGGACTTCATTTCTCAAGCATTGTGGTGATGAAAACATATACTCTGTTGAGTGTAGAGGCCAGGAAGGAAGAACCCTACAAAAATCACACAATATCAAAAACCATGTCAGAATTGCAGGATTATTAAGCACTCAGACTTTAAAGCTAGATGGATGCAGATTCAAATTGAATAGGACACAACCTGCTGGACAGAATGACAAGGACACAGTAATCCAATTCGCTACCTCTGAAAAGCACTAAAGAGTAGTAAATTGTCCTAGATTTCTTCCAATCATTTCAATTTACAATATTCTGAGGCCCGGCGCGGTGGCTCACGCCGGTAATCCCAGCACTTTGGGAGGCTGCGTGGGCAGATCACCTGCGGTCAGGAGTTTGGGACCAGCCTGGCCAACATGGCAAAGCCCTGTCTCTACTAAAAATACAAAAATTAGCCGGGCATGGTGGTGGGTGCCTGTAATCCCAGCTACTCGGGAGGCTGAAGCATGAGAATTGCTTGAACCCAGGAGACAGAAGTTGCAGTGAGCTGAGATTGCACCCCTGCACTCCAGCCTGGGCGACAGAGCAAAACTCTGGAAAAGAAAAAAAAAAAGAAGAGAAAATTCTGACCTGTGGTCAGACATAAATGCAAAATTGCTCTGAAAACATAATCATTAAACTCCTATATCTCTAGTAAATCATCCTTTGCCCCGCCCCATTGTAGGAGTATGACTTTCCTTTAGACGTTAAAACAGGGCAGTGTCTAAAGATGGCTATTTTATTTGACTGCTAATTATGAGACTTTAAAGCAAGCAACAGAGGTTAAAGTCCTTCCAAGATTTTCCATTGATTACTGGTAAATCTCCACAACTTTGATGTTCAGCTTTCATGATGTGATCCCTGCTCTTCCTTCCAGTTGTATCCCCTGGAATCTACCCCATATATACTCCAGCTGTTCAGAATTGCTGTCCCGTGTTTTTTCTCACTTCTGCCAATGAATCCCTCTTTTACTGTGCCCTCATCATGCTTGACTGCAGCAGACAGAGGCATCGATTTTAAAGTGTCTCCTCATACCTGCATTTTTGGTTTCTATATCTGTTTTTTCATGGAATGTGAGACTTGCAAGGGCAAAGACAGGTTTAATGCGCCTCTACATCTTGAAAAAAAAACAGAGAGCAGGCCTATAACAAGTTTTCCAAAGGGATGAACAAGTGAAAGAAGGAATAAATATTGATTTTGCAATGTTACTGATAAAGGCAAACACAAAATTAGATCACTGACATCTATGAGGAAAATATGTTTGCCTAGTGATGAAGCAAAGGAAAAGTTTCTACCCACAAATTGAAAATGTTGATGCTATTATTTTGTTAGAAATGAGTTTGTTTCCTTTGCTTGGGAAGAAAGCAAAAATTGTCAACAAATGGCTTCCTTACTAGGCAAAAAGCAGTTTATTTGCTGGTCTGCCTGAATAAAAAAGGGAAAATAAGTTTGGTTGGTGGAGGGGCTTAAAGTTTTGCTGTTACAACAGAAGCAGTAACATTTAATTTTCACTGAGAGAAGACAGGAAGAAGAGCATGGCTTGAAATTCAATGGTCTCTATCATCTACTAACTGCTGGCCATTGGAAAATTAAACATGCCTCTGAACTCCTGTTTTCTAATCTTTGAACTGGTTATAACAACACATGCCTTCATTTGTCTAAATTGTAAATTAAGTGACCACCTTAGTTCAACATATGTGGCATATAAATCTTCCATTTTCCCTGCTATTTCCCTAAGTCAGAAGTGAGCAAAGCCAATCTGTAAGAAAACAAAAATGAAAAGAATAGGTTATTTTGATTTTTTAATGTCTGGTGATTATATTGTTTAATTGAAATTCCATGGAAGCAACTAAGATTATACTTAAATACATAATAGCAAGTGAATACCAAATGAAAACATTTTTAAAGCCAGAATTTTACACTAAAAAGATCAATTTAGTGTTGTATAAACATAAACATGAGCATAAATACATCAAGATCCATGGATTGATCATTTGATTGAAGATACTGTCTTTCTCTGCTGAGAAAACAGTTTTTTTCCTCCTTATTCTCTTGGTTGGTTCAATATTTAACTCTGATCATCCAAGAGAAATCTTTGTGGTACCTGAAGAAGTATAATCTGTAGGAGTCCCTGCTTTGAAGGCAAAAAGGAAAATAAAACTATGCTTATCAAAAAAAAAAAAAAAAAAGAACAAAGAACAAAAGCAGAAAAGAGCAAACACAAGAGACAAAATGCCTTGTTAATTGTATAAATTTGCTAAGGACACCATAACAAAGTACCATGGTTGGAGTGGCTTAAAAAACAAAAATGTATGTTTTCATAGTTCTGGAGGCTGGAAGTCCAAGATCAAGGTGTCAGCAGGGTTGAGTCCTTCTGAGGGCTACGAGGGAGGATTTATTTCAGTCTTTCCTCTACGGTTTGTAGACAGCTGTTTTTTTTCTTATGTCTTCACATCGTCTTCCTTCTGAATGTATCCTGTCCATATTTTCTCTTCTTATGAGAACACCAGTCATACTGGACTAGGGCTCACTCTAATGACCTTATTTTAATTTAATTACCTCTATAATCAATACCTTCTTTCCAGATTCAGTAAAACTCTGAGGTACTTGGGGTTAGGATTTCAACATGAACTTTTTCAGGGGCACAATTTAGCCCACACAATAGCTTTCTCCTTTTTACAAAGTATAAGGATGCCAACAAATGCAGTTGTTACTCATTTTCATCTTAGTGTGTATTTTAGTCCACTAAATTTAAGCACTTAAATATAAATTTAAGTGAATGAGCTATTTTAAAAGATAATTTTCATGTCAAAATAAACCTGAAATTGTGAAAAGAGATTTTATCCTTGCTTAATAGACTACCTAAATTATAAATGATATCAAGTGTTCACTATATGTTGACCACTGTAAATAAAATTCCTCTTCAGAAATCACCTCATTTAATCATGTGCTTACTGCAACAATGGAAATTAAGTGAGATTATTAGGGACCCCTAAATCTGCAAAAATAGAGTCGTGGCAATGGGGTGCAGTAATTCCTCAAGTGGATCACTGAGACTGCTGGTAAGCAGGATCACTTCTATGTCCATGCCTTGATTCCTGGATTATGTTCAGCCTTTAGGGGCCATAGCTTCATAGAACGGTTACTGTTCTGTAAGACTTTTGGATAATTTTTGCTTGCTAATGCTCTGTGGGCAGGGAATGACAAGCCATACCCAGAATATGTATCAAATCCAGTCAAGATGAATTATGCAATTTTCAGGATGGAAGGAATCCAATATAATCAAGTTGCCACCATGTGAATTGCTTATCTCATTGAGAGATGGTGTCGTATTGTAATTCACCATTTGTTTCTGTTGGAGGTGGACATTTGGCAGTGGCAAGAGCTAGACAAGCTTTGGTGATTGCTAGCCCATGTTGTTGGGGCTGCGTGTAGCCTCCATTCCTGCTATTGTAGCTGCACAATCCTTGTAGACTTTATGCCTGCATTAGTGTGGTCAACCAGCTGAGCTGTTTTGTTTACTTGATTGTTTAGTAATTTTTCTATGGTGGATGCATTCCAGTTGATATCAGCATGTGACACCAATGAACTTCTCATTTCTTGCCCGCCCCACGATGTCTAATATAGGCCTCTTTCGTAGAGATCCTTGTCTCTGATCCTCCACTTTTTCCCTTTCTAGGTCCTTGACTAACTAGTCAAGTCCTTTGGTTCAAGAGTTTATACATCCATATCTAGGGACACATTTTCCCATCAAAAGCAGATGATGAGTTATTGCACTTGAAGGCCTGCCAGTTAGAATAATTTTTCCCTCACTGCCATCTTTCAGGGCCACTATTGCATGTCTATTGCATTGTCATCTATTTTCAGCATGCATGAACATATTGAGCTAATTCACCCATGAATCAAATCCAACATTTCATTGTATTTGTTGGCTGGTTACCATAGATATTAGCAGAGAATAAGCCACTATAACAAAAGTGGTAGATGATATGGGTGTCTGGGCAGGCGAATTGATCAGCTAACTTGTGCCCTACTCTTGCCTGATCTGGGAGATACTGTTTTTACCTAATAGTGTCCAAGCTCATGAATTGCTGTGTCAAAGAGAAGTCAGCTCATGATGAGTGGTTACGGCCATGTAGTCACACAATATCGTGGCTTAGCTCAAGAAATATAGGCCATCTACAATACATTCTAGTTCTTTTACTGAGGTTGAACATAAAACCCACATGGCATTTTTTCCTATCACAGATAAATGTAGTAGCAAAGAATATCCACGGCAATGTGACAGAGCCTGCACCACATCCTTTGTATGCTCTAGGATCCACTCAAAATAGGTAGTCTTTTGTGTCATTTGGTAAGTAAGTTGAAGTGATTGCATTCAGTGTGAAATATACTGCCTCTAGAACCCAAAGAGGGCTATCAGGTTGTGCTTCTTTCTCAGCGGTGTGAGATGCAAGAAGCAATAATTTATACTTTATTTTGGAGCTGATATTCTGTCATACTCAGAACATTGGACTCCTGAAATTTCCAGTTTTGTGTCTGGTTCCTAAACTCTTGTAGGGTTTCCCTCCCAACCTGGAGGGCATGTGTCTAACCAAGTCTTCCAATCTAGTTTCTACTTATTGATTATCTGGTGTGATTAACATAATGTTATTAATATAGTGGAACAACATGATGTTAGGCATAATCTCTCAGTAGTAGGCATCACGTGAGACTTTATTGTACCAGATGACAAGAGAATAAACATAGCCCTGGAGGATAAATATATATGTATACTGTTATTTATCCTGCATAAATGCAATGTATTTCTGGTACTCATCATTGGTGGGGATGGAGAAGAGTACATTTTCCAGATCAATAACCTCCTACTATGTATCTGAGGCTTTTCTCAATCTATTTTAGGAAAGATACCTCATCTGCACAGTATCAGCAATTGGATCTGTTACATGTTGGAGTGTGCAATAATTTATTGGCATCTTCCTATGTCCATGTGACTTTGTGGTAGGGTTATTAAATATGGATACAACGGGGATCATCTCCCCCTTCATCCTTTAGGATTTTAAATATGCCACTAATTTCTGTTCCTTGCCTCAGATTCAGGGCCAGGACTGGGATGCATGAGCTTGAAAGTGAATGCTTTCTTAAATGTTGTGCCCTAGGTACTTCACCGGCTTCATCATAGTCCTGGTTTTACTTAGGATGCAATATTGTTTTTAATTTAAAATTTTGGTGTACTTGGCTTCCCCCACTATGACAGTCCTTGCCACATGTGCCAGTGAATCAGTGGAAGGTCCTGCCAACAACCACATGCGTACCTGCCAACTATAAGTTTGAGGACCAAGGAAAAGATCACTGGGTGTGATCATTTTCTTGGGTCTATGGACCCAATGTAAGCTGGACCTGAGCCAGAACTTTACTTATGACCCAGCCCACAAACCATACTCTAATACAAGTGCCATATGATGTTTCTGAAGTCTGGATTTTAATGTCGAATTACATTCTCTGTTTAACACTTCTCAAAATTTATTGATATCCCCCTTTCCTGAGTGAAAAATAGTCAATGTTTGTGATCTTAGGTGTCTTTGGAACCAAGTGACTACATTAGTTTATTTACTTTTTGTAATATTACATGGTCTTTCCACCTGAGGACACAATCCCTTCACCAATCAATGTATAATGTATCTGAAATTTGGCTCCATTCCCTAAATTGAGCCAAGGACTGTGATTTTATTACTAAGGTGATGTTCCTTAGTTTCTTGTTTATTTTGTATTTCTTTTGATTGTATAGGTTCAACAATACTCTTATTTCCTGCCCATCCTCTTGCTCCTGGCAAATACTTTGTTCTATTAACTCTCTGCACTGTTCTCTATGAGTTAGCCTGCCCTGGCTGTCATTCTGACATTCATCATGATCTTTGTGTCTACTTTACTGATGTTTGAGCACTGCAACCTGGCTCCTGTAATTTTGGTATCCCATCATTCCATTGCTATTAGGCAGCCCCATTCTGTAACAGCACCTCCTTTCATTAGCCTGACCTAAAGATGACAGTCAGTATGAGTTTCTCAAGATTCTGGGCTTGTCTCTCTAGCACATTCCTTATTTCTCTGGAAGAGAGTCCTCTGACCATTTCACAGAACAAATCCAACTGGCCTTTCATAGTATATACACTCTCATATTTCCACTTCTCTGAGCCCTTTAATCCTTTCTTTCAACACCGAATTCAATAGCTCTGGCATTTGTACCTCAATTATTATGGGTCATCTCCCCGTCAAAGCTTTCAAGAACTATTCTACCAGCAAATTAGCACCCAGAGTCCTTGCTGGGTATTAAATCCTGTATCTTGGGATAGTGCTCATATGTCAGTAACCTATTCTTGTCTACCTGTGTGTTCTTCTCCCTAGGTAAAGAATCTTCAGGATCCAGTCTCATACTCTTCTGGCTACTGCCAGTATGATCCGGCTTGGTTTAGCAGCTCCTGTAGCTCTGTGGGGCAGAGCCTACTTTAATAGGCTAAGGCTTCCCTGACTAGTTTATGTTGTGACTTAATCCTACATGTTGGTTATGTGGCCAGTAGGGATGGTGAGGGTAGATTCTTAAAGGAGATTGACATTGTCTTGTAAGTCAGAGGACTGTTATTTTTCTTCAAACAATGGGGACACTAGTTTTTGACAGGTTCCACTTCTGCAGACCCAGTTTAGGGATCTGTAGGGATTCAAAATTTAAGAATTTATCTACCCAGATAACCTTACCCCAATTCTCAGGGTCTCACCACTCCTCGATTTATGAGTTTATCTACCCAAATAATCTGATCTTTATTCTTAGGGTCTTGCGACTCCTTTGTAGTCAGAGCTCTGCCTGACAGAGCGGACTTAATATTTTTGAGAATCCAACCTTCTCTGGACTTCTGTTTCCCATATAACTGTGTATTGCACTTGATCCTCAGAGATTTTTCTGTCCTCTGATTGCAAAAACAATCACCCTTATCTTTAAACTGGTGATTAATAGCCCTTAGCATCTCATTGTCTTTCTTCAATACATTGATCAACTCTGCACACAGCCATCCTATCTCTATTGTCCTATAATGACTACTTTCTTGTACCTCTCAAATACCAGAGATACTGAACCTGTTGGTGCACTTCCTTTCACAATTATCCCATCCCATTTCACTGCTGGTCAAAGTTAAACACATGTACTGCGAAGGGGCTATCAGTGCTCCATCTTTCATCAATGATGGAGTTTTTACTACCAGCTGGTAGGTGATCATGCTCCAAAATACCATTTTAGAATGTTCACTTTGACCACTTATATCTCCAAGTGTCAAAGTCAGGTTTCCTGGAAAATAGACTCTGAAATGCAGATGGGCATGCTGGTGTTTTATCTGGGAGTAAGGGATGCAGGAACAGACAAGAGTGAAAGGTGAACTGTAATCCAGTCATAATAGAGGCTTCAGCTAATTAAATGGAGTGCTATACATTTGAGATGTCCCTTCAGAGATATCCCTAATTAAGGCAAGAGTCAGACGTTTGTATACCTACATTGGCTTGTCCTTAGATGTGGGAGGGAGGTGCCATGGAGAGAAGACAGGCAAAACAGATCTCTTTGGGCAAGGATAGTTTATTGGGAGAAATTCAGCTGAGATACACCAGCAGCAATATTCCCTGCCGTTGGATTAGGGGATACCTTAGTCCTAAAAGGCCATCTCAGGGGCACACCACCAATATATAGTACTAATAACCTAATACTTTCTCTACCTGCTTTTCAGGAAATTTCATGTTTAGTAGAGAATAGCAAGAAGGTGTAATAGAGAAGAAGAAGCAAAATGTGGTTAATATTAAAATAGCTTAACTAATTTCCAGAATAGTGATTGCTTGTTCTGCATATCTTAATGCTAAAGGGAAAGACAGAATGTGGTACAGTACACTGAGTTTTTGAATTCTAGAAACCTAGGTTTAATTCCATGCTAGCTACTTTGAGCAAGTAACTTTATATCTATGTCTCACTTTCTTCCTCTGTATAAAATTGTACTGATACCTCTCTTGAAGAATTGGGAAATTTGCCTGAGTCCAAAGATCTTAAAACCTCTGTCTCAAGTTTCCTGCTATACTGGTAGGAGGAACTTAATAAATTGAATTTCTTTCCTGCTTCTACCATCATGCAGCTACTCTGTCAGCAGTGGAGATGGGTTTGCATTGAGCCGTCTACTCCCTCTAAACAAGTACTCAGAGAGATATGTAGATGGCTGGTCTTGACTGTGTAGTACATGCATTTTCTGATAGTAAAACTTAGGCTTTTGTCTATATGAAGCCACTTGCCTGGGAAGCCTCACTCCACAATTTCAGATTCATTACCTTTATGTTCAGTTAATCATCTGTGCCCATCCAAAAGTAGGAGATAGTCTGGACTCAGAAAAAAAAATAGTACTGACACGTGTGCACTTTTTCATGTGTTAAATGCTCTTGGTAAAAGTCCCTACAACTTTAATAATCGGGAAAATGCAGATTTGTATTACAATTTCGGAACCATTAATGACTGGAGTTAAGCGTAGGGGACAATGCATGCTAAAGAGGATTGACCCAATTTTGGATCTCGACCAGATATTCACGGAAAGACAACTGTTTTCTGGGCAGGTCACACCTGTTTTATTAGCAGTAATATGAGCCTTTAGGGTATCACACAGAAATTAAACAGTTAAGGATAAATGACCTAAGAGGACTTAACAATTTAATCCTAACTAAAGAGCAAAGAGAATGCAATCTAGAAACAGGATTGCAAGCAGAATTGTGGGTTAATGACCTTGTACTTTTTAATTTAATGGAGCACACATAGTCCTGGGCTGGAAGTAATGAATTATAGGAAATAAATACATATACTAGAATTTTATGAATAAATTATTGTAACACTAATTACAATTAAATTGCCTTGTTTTAATATGATTTAGTAATTAAGCCACAAGTGGCTTGCTGCCTGGTTTTTGCCTGAACAGGCACCAAATAAAAGTATTTGACTCAGCAAAAATATTTGTGAATATATTTTCAAACTTTTTATTTTCAGTAAGTGGACATTGATAGGAATATTAATAACGTAAAAGAATTACTTCGTTCTTTTTGTTTTTCCCTTTTAGGATATGCATCTGCGTAGGAAAAACATCACTATAATAAGCTGGGTAAGCCTGGGCCCTCTTGCATTCAAGAAACACTGTCATTGCTGACTTAGTTCTCTCCCCAAGGGGAGAATTGTTTCCAAATCATTCAATTCCACCTGCCATCTATTCCTCAGTACTAAATTAGGGCAACTCTGGTCAGAAATGAAATAACAACTGTCCCCTTATCTAGATATGTGTAAGCCTCTCTTGGTTTCACCCAGGTCAGTTGCCTTCCTTCTGTGTACTCACAGGAAGCTGTGAGCTAGATCATAGTTAGATCAAGGGGACAATTGTTATTTCATCTGTGTAGCACTGTTCTTACCACATTCCAATCACCTGCGCATGATTCTGCTACTGGTCTAGATCATATTTATCTTGTATCTCCAGATGTTGTCATATATTAGGTGATCAATAAATATTAATCCCTTGAAGGAAGGGAAGAAGGAAGAAAAGAAGGAAGGAAGGAAAGATGAAATGGGATTTAATGTGCAGTTGAGTAAAATCACTACTTATCTATTTGTATTGTTCATTGAAAAAATTCTTAGCATTTGCCTTGAGCAGATATCTATAAGAATTAAAAAAGAAAAAGAAACATACACACAATAACAGTAGGAAAGAGTAGGGAGACAGAGGAGATTAAAACAATTTTCTGTCTTCATAAAACTTAGAGTTCATCTGATAAAATTTATACACACAAAACAAGCAAATGAACAGACAACGACAACAACAACAGAACTCACAATAACAAAATTACTTGTCAGGCACTGCAGTGGTAATCATATTACTTTTTTTCTCACTGTAAGACTACGCAATAGATGCTATTGTCCTTACAATTTTAGAGATAATGAAACAGGTAAAAAGAGCTTAATAAACTTCTTAAAGGCCTCTCACAATATAAAAGATGGAACCCATTTTTTAACCAAGAAAATCTGGTTTCATAACCCATGCACCAACTACCACATAATATCATTGTCAAAACCATAAATATTATATGTTCAAAGGAGGAAGAGGTCATTGATACTTAATGATTGTGGTGACCGGATTACAAAATGTGATTACAAATCACAAAAATGTCAAGAACTGTAAAGGGTCTGAAGTTTTACCCTACTTGCAAGCTATCAAGTAACCAGCCAGAGTTTAATTTAGGATATTAGTAGAAGATAGGAAACATCTGGGTCAAAGACAATGGACAGTTTATTTCTTGTAGCAATTGCAGATGCCAGAATACTAGCATTTACACTGTTTCCTCAATCCCTGACATTCTTAGGGGTATACTACAGCAGAAGATCCCTAAGGTTAGATAATGCAATTTTTAAGCAGAGTGTTGTAGGAAAATTGGCCCTTTTGTGTCAGAGAGAGATAGTATTCTCATAGTCCAAGGATGTAGGCAAACTGCTGTTTGCTATTTCTATCTTCCAAAACTGTTCATTATACAAGCATCCTTGAAATTTGAAAATGTTGATATAATTTTATATCATTACAAAGATTCTTTACAGTTAAACATACTGAAATTTGATAAAAACCACTGTCAAAGAGCAATTAAAGGAAGTTGCTGTAAACATTGTATAAAATATTTGTAAAAAATAATTATACAGTTACTAATAATTTTAATCCAGTAATTCTAGAATGGGAATAAACACTAAGGAACTTCAGAAAGCCTTTGTACATAAAGACATTCAGTGTAGTCTGTAGTAAAACTGAAAGTGCTAAAGTATTTGTAAATCCATTGGAGTATCATTATTGTTTTTTACTTGTCTAAATAACATTTGGAAATATTCATGTTATAAGTATTATTTACATATAAAATTCTGTTTTTCCAACTTGTTTTAAATATATCAACATACAACAAATATGGTATTTTATTTTTTTATTCTTACATTCGTATCATATTTTCGTAATTCTCTACAGAGGTATATATTAGTTGCATGATTAAAAATAATAAGAGATACCAAAGAATTTCACTTTAAATACACATTTATCACACACTGCTTGGCATTGTGCCAGATTTTCAAGGGATTAAAGGGAAAACATGACATATAATTTGAGGTTAAGGAATTCACAATTTAGTAATTAAAAACAGAAAGATAAACCACTACTAAGAATGAGTGGCTCATGCCTGTAATCCCAGCACTTTAGGAGGCTGAGGCGGGTGGATCATGAGGTCAGGAGATCGAGACCATCCTGGCTGACACAGTGAAACCTCATCTCTACTAAAAATACAAAAAATTAGCCAGGCGTGGTGGCACACACATGTAGTCCCAGCTACTCAGGAGGCTGAGGCAGGAGAATCACCTGAACCCAGGAGGCGGAGGTTGCAGTGAGCTGAGGTCACGCCACTGCACTTCAGCCTGGGCAACAGAGTGAGACTCTATCTCAAAAAAAAAAAAAAAAAAAAAAGTAGATTGCTACAAATTTTCAAAAAAGCTGCAAGTAGCCTGATTTGGCCAACAAGTGTAAGGAGCTGATTGTTCAAGGGAAAAGCAGATGCTCCATGGAGGGGACGTATATTTGTCCTGGGCCTTAAAGAAAGAGATTCTCCTGCCTACGATGTCCTGGGGTAGGGTCAGCTGGGGAGCTCTGAGAGTCTCCAACCTTGATATAACAAGTGAAGGGAGTTCTGGTTCAAAGTAAGTTTTGATGAAATGAAAAATCATCTTCCTGCTTGGAGAACAGATGTACTCATCTACGCTAGGATACAGAAAAAAAAAAAAAAAAGGAATTGCAAGGAGACTAGGCCCAGGGAGGGAGAGTTGGCAGAGGAAAAAGAGGCTATGATTTATAGACAAAGATGCCAATTTACGTTCTCTTGCTAGGGGAAAAATCAGTATCAGTATCAAATAGAGTAGCTGCTTCTTTAACCAGAGTGAATGGGGGGAATTAGATACATCAAAGGATACATGCCTTTTTTGGGTGTGGCGGGGGTGGCAGTACCTTTCCATAATGCGTGGATTTGGAGAATAGAGGAAGGGCAGATAAAATGTTTTAGAGATTTTGAGATGCCCAGCAATGGCCTGCTGTCCTACTGGATTCCGAATTAATTGAGGATAGACTAATACACTGGTTTTCTTGGCTAAGTTTCCACATAGGATATAACATTTGGCTTCTCCCCAGGTCTGCCAAGTGGTCTTTCTAACAAGAGTTGAGCAAGAGTTAGATACAGTGTGCCCCTGTCTTTTCTTGCTTAGCAATACACTAAATTTGGGAATGATAGGAAGATGTGGGTTCTAATTTGGAGGCACAGGTCTTGGTATTTGCTCATTTTCCTCTTTGCAGAAGTTTCATAAGGAATATTTTCTTCGTTTGGTGGTGTTTAAATTTTCTATCTCTGATTGCTTTAAGCAATTGTGACTCCATGGACCAGGAAAAGAAATACTTAAGCATTCATCTCATTTTATCATAGTAAAATCCCTATTCAGAGGAAATTAGTTTGTCCCCAGCTGAAAGTTGGAATCAATAGCCATTCTGTGCACCACCACTTTAGTGAACAAGATATTTTATTAAATTAGGGTAGTGGATGATGGAGATGTCCTTGGATCTTATCAATAATGAATAAGCTGTTGTTTAAAGGAAACAATATGGGTCCTCTCCTGGCAGAACTCAGGCTATATCTCTGTAGGGACAGATTTTCTGAGTAATCTGATGATCAGATTTGGCCTTGCTGTTCCAGGCACCAATCTAATGAAATTACAATCTTTTGTGCTCAGCCTGACTCACTGAGGAGGACAGCTCCCTTCAAAGAAGGCCTTCAGGTGACTTGCAGGAAGCCCCTGGAGAAAATGGAATGAAAGAGGACAAGGCTTATATGGAGCTAAGTGAAATATGAGAATAACTTACAAGTCCTGGCTAGATAAGGTTTTTTAACTATTACATATAAACATTATTATTACTAATTATAACTATTAATAACAGTGATTTCAGCGATTTCATTGTATCACCCATGATTTAATGCGTATGCCCTGAGCGCCAGATACAGTGCAGAGTGACATATTTCAATTATCCTGCAACAACCTCATGAGAAAGATGCTATTAACATCATCATTTGTTTGGATGAGAAAATTGAAGCTTAGGAAATTAGTAACTGTGCGAGGCAATATGACTAGTAATTGGTGGAGCCAGAATTTAAGTCCAGGTTTGTTTTATGCCAAAGCTCATGATCTTAACATTACACAAAAGCCTGCTAATTCCTTCATCTACCATCCCACAATAATGAGGTATACTTGAACCTGAGCCACATAAACTCATTTCTTTGCTAAAGGAGTATCCTATCCTATGACAGAAAAGAAAAAAAAATCAGCAGCTAGTTATTGGTAAGATTTGGGAGAATATCAAAATTTCACTGGCCTAACAATCTATCCTACCTGTTTTCTATAGGCCTGAGATCCTTTTGAGTTACCACAAAAGACTGTGTTCAAATTTCAACTTGTAATGTGTAAGAGGATTCAGGGGCAGTGAGAGAAGAGAAACAACTCACTTCACCATCAACAGAGCTAAACTGCTTCTTAGGACTATTTCCTGACATCACATAGTATCTGACAAATTTGAAATAAGACAAAACATTAAGGAGAAAGGGAAAGTGGAAAAAAATCCTCCATTAAATAAAATGTAAATGTGAGAAGGGTAAGTTTGTTGCTTCTTTAATTTCCCAGAAAGCCAAGACGTCGCTCATTTGGTTAAGGTAAAATCTCCCCACCTCTACATTTTAGTTACTCTTAAAGTTGGGGCATACTATTTATACAATATACAAATTTCTCTCTAATAAAAGCAATAAAAACAGTAATGTCTGTTAAGCATTTTGACGTATGTTATCCTGTTTTGCTCTTACAAAAACATGTGAGAGGGTATTTTCATCTCCATTCTCAGGATGAGGACATTAAGGCTAAAACAGCAAATGTTTCACCTAATGTCATACAACTCAAAATTAGCAGAGCGAGTTCCAGACTATATCTTCAGCTATAAATATTCTTTATGTTGTAAGGTTTTATGGAAACTGAGACAGATAGAAAGAAGTCAATTATGAAGGCAAGATGGAGAAAGAAGAAAGATATGAACTTTGACTCCTTTCAGCTGGGACATTTTTCCTGCTCATACCCAGATCTTGGAATTTGAAATGAAAAAGATTGTGTGTACATAATTGTGGCAATTTCAAAACATGGACACACATTCCTCAATATTCCTTCCATTAAGAGGTGAGATCTATACCCCGAACTATGGATGTATTTATATTAGCTTTTACCAATTGGGTATGGCAGAGGGGCATTATGTAACTTTCATGTGTAAGCCACATAAAACATACAATGACTTCCTTGTTCACTGACAGAGTCATCCTTAGGGCCATGAGCCACGACATAACAAGTCTGTCTACTCTGATGCTTCCAAGCTGGAAAGGTCTCATGTAGGGTCTCCTGACCACAGGTGTAGCTGAACCCAACTTTCCAGCCATCCTCAGAAAGGTGTCAGGCCTATGAGTGAAGCCATTGTGGACTCTCTAGGCCACTCTGTCTGCCAGCCGTATACCAGAAGTGACTTTTGTCAATGCCACATGGAACAGAAGAATCTCTCAGCCAATGCCTGCCTAAATTCTTGATCCACAAAGATGTGAGCTCTAATGAAGTGGTTGTTATTTTACGCTACTAAAATTTCAAGTAGCAGTGATAGGTAACTGGAACAGTGTGTGCCTGTGTGTTTGTGCTAGGAGAGGGGGATACAGGTAATTCTAATGGCCTTGTCCCAGACATAGAAATTAGCTAACAGGGTGCTAAGGGCAGATGACAATCTTGATTTTAGGATGTGGCTCAGAGCCATCCTTGGTTTCTTTTTCTCATCCATCTTGGCTACCTTAGAGCATAGTGGCCTGAGTGGTTTTCAGATCACCTCATTGAGAAGGCTGGGGTCTGTGTAGAGATAAAGAAGTATGCCTTTCTTACTTATTAGAGTTTTAAAAGTTTTTTATTTTTATTTCTTTTTCAATTACCCAGCAGTCAGGAAAAGCATGTTATTAAATTCTGCCTTCAATTGAGATGGCTTAAAAGGACAGATTTTTATTTTTTTCAGTGAAAATGACAGATGCCATGTTTTTCACTACATGGTGTTCCATTTAAAAAGGAGCAGGAATTTAGAGGTTTTTGGCAGGGCCAAATAATAATTACTATTATTATTATTGATAATGCCAAATTATCATTATCATCAGCAGCAGCAGCATCAAATGTCCCAAATAAATTAATCATCAGAAGAAAACAATAAGCCATATAATCACATTTCCTGCTTGTAACAGTGATAATTGCTCCAGAATAAAACCTAGGCTTTGATGATGGCTAATCATTGCTAGTTAGTCTAAATCTCAGAGAAACAACTCTAAATCTCCTTATACTAGGCAATCCAGCTTGAAGCTGAGTAGAAAACACACACACACATACACACACACTCCGTAGTGGCAGCTTTTCTTTGATGGTGATGAAAGCTGACATATGGCATAGGTCCCATGAGACAAATATTTGAAAACTCGATCTGTGCCTTTAAATTGCCTCTGCACACAAGAAACTTAAACCTAAGTAGGGAGACCACTCTTAGACAAATGTCGTAGTCTAGCTTATACTGCTGTAACAGAATACCCAAGACTGGGTAATTTATAAAGAACAGAGGTTTGCTTGCCTTGTGATTCTGGTGGCTGGAAAGTTTAAGATTGCACAGCCGATCTAGTGAGAGCCTCAGGCTGCTTCAATTCACGGCAGAAAGTGAAAGTGGAGTTGCTGTGTGTAAAGAGATCACATGGCAAGAAAGGAAGCAAGAGAGCAAAAACCAAGGAGGCCAGATTCTTTTCTTTTTCTTTTTTTTTTTTTTTTGAGATGGAATTTCGCTCTTGTCACCCAGGCTAGAGTGCAATGGCATGATCTCAGCTCACTGCAACCACCGCCTCCTGGGTTCAAGCAATTCTCCTGCCTCAGACTTCCAAGCGGCTGGGATTACAGGTGCCCACCACCACACCTGGCTAATTTTTGTATTTTTAGTAGAGACGGGCTTTCACGTTGATGGCCAGGCTGGTCTCGAACTCCTGACCTCAAGTGATCCTCCTGCCTCTTCCTTCTAAATTGCTGGGATTACAGGCGTGAACCACCGCACCTGGCCTCAGATTCTTTTTTAACAACTCGTTCTCTTGCAAATGAATCCATTCCTCTGGAGGAAGAACTTACCCCTTTAGGAGAAAGGTCTTCATCTATTCATAGAAAATCCACCTTCATGACCCAGATACCTCTCACTAGGCCCACCTCTCAACTCTGCTACATTGGGGGTCAAATTTCAACATGAGTTTCGTTGGGGACAAACCACATCCAAACATGTAACAACTGGGGAAACAGGCTCATGACTCCTCATACACAGGAAATGCAATCAGTTTTAGGTGCTTTTGTCTTGGTCTGTAGCACTGCCCAACACAGTGTGGGTCATAAGAAAATAGGTTCCATATTCTGGCTTTAATTCCCATCTTGGCCCCCTAGTTTCTGAGCTATCTTAGATATATTTTATCTCTCTAAAACTTTATGTTACTCTCTGTAAAATAAGGACAATGATATGAGCTACCATATGGCATCTTTTTGAAAAGTAAATGGATTTAATGCAGGAGAAGAACTAACCAGTGTCTGACTTAAGTAAATGTCTAATACGTGTTAGGCAAATAAAGATAAAATGGCAAGGATGGATATGATCAGGTGGAGCCCAATAATTCATATGAGAAGCTACCTCTTAGGGTTATGCCAGGTCAGAGCAAAGGAGGCTGTCTGGAATTTGATTGCGAATCTACACAGGCTACTCAAGAGGAGGAAAGAAGCTAGAGACATCTGCAGCAGAGGGGACCAGATGACAAGGAAGGTTTTAAGCAGATGGTGGGATGTAGAGCCTGGAATCATTTCAGATATGACATGTAGTTGGCTGAGGGCACTTCAGGTCCCCTGGCAATTGATCCTAGTAAGGCTAGAGTTTTTTAGGGGTGGCAGTGGAAGGGACATCAAAAAATAAAGATAGCCAGATTTATTTTTCAAAAATTTTACAGAAATCTCCATCTTTATCCTATGACTCATTTCTTCTTTTGTTTTTATTTTATCTTGTTTATTTTTAGAGACAGGGTCTTCCTCTGTCACCTGGGCTAGACTGCAGTGGTGCGATCAAAACTCACGGAAGCCTCAAACTCCTGGGCTCAAGTGACCCTCCTGCCTAAGCCTTTTGAGTAGCTGGGACTACAGGCACCCGCCACCATGCTTAGCTAACGTTTTTGGATTTTTTGCAGAGATGGGATCTTGCTTTGTTGCCCAGACTGGTCTCACATTCCTGGCTTCAAGCATTCTTCTCGCCTTGGCCTCCCAAGATGCTTGGATTATAGACATGACCATTTATTCTGTCCTCTTCAGGCTTCATCCTCGAAATAGGACTTTGGCTCTTGCAGCCTTTGCCATGGATTGGATCTATTAAGTGATGCTTCCTAAGTTTAACATGAGCCAGAGAGTCTGGAAAGTACATTAAATTTATTTTAGGAAACTACCAATCTATGCCCCTTAATGTCAGCTCCCCGTTCTCATAACCTCAGAGTGCATGTCCAGATGCCCCAATCCTACCTCTTCTTGTTCTTCCAACAAACCTATGAAGAAATCAGCACCAGCTAAATATAATTCAAGAAGACACCTGAGTGGAATGTCTTGCTTGGAAAGAAGACTAAGTCGATGGGATCCCTGAAGTTGAGAATTTGAAGGAGGAGGCTTGGAGGGAAAATCTTAAGGGGATGTGAGAGGTGCTCTAAAGTCAAGATTGGGACTCACAGTACTAGACTACATGCACACAGAGTTACAAAGAATTAGATTCCCAGGCCGGACACAGTGGCTCACGCCTGTAATCCCGGCACTTTGGGAGGCTGAGGTGGGCAGATCATGAGGTCAGGAGATCAAGACCATCCTGGCTAACACAATGAAACCCCGTCTTTACTAAAACCACAAAAAGCCGGGCGTGGTGGCGGGCGCCTGTAGTCCCAACTACTCGGGAAGCTGAGGCAGGAGAATGGCGTGAACCCGAGTGGTGGAGCTTGCAGTGAGCCGAGATCACGCCACTGCACTCCAGCCTGGGTGACAGAGCGAGACTCCGTCTCAAAAAAAAAAGAGAGTCTCAGAGGAAGCATATGAAGAAAATAGAATGAAGCAGATGAGGAGAGAAATCCAGAGAAGCCATGCGCAAAGCAGATTAAGCTTAGAGAAGTCAATGTTTTGCACTTCCTGAGGCCCAGCATTCAGCCTTCCTAGTGTTCTCTCCAACCACCCTCTTCAGTTCAGCTAGTTTCTCTTCCTGTCCACAAAATGAGTTCTAATTACAAAAAGAACCATTGTTTTGCTGTTGAACCATAATTTGAGGTGCAAACATACCATTTTTTTC
This sequence comes from Homo sapiens, assembly GCF_000001405.40. Lineage (NCBI taxonomy): Eukaryota > Metazoa > Chordata > Mammalia > Primates > Hominidae > Homo > Homo sapiens. Next base: position 107,656,851 of record NC_000010.11, read on the forward strand.
CAAGAAGGGTCAGTGCACAGCGGTTGATGCTCTGAGAATGCTTTAGGGAAAGCATATGCAATGACATTCTGCAACAGGCTGGGCAGCCACAAAGAAGCCACCTTGTTTCCACTTCATCTAAAAGATGACACAGCACCTCTTCTTAAGAAAGCTTTCCTGAGGTGCAGTAGAGGCCTTCTGACCCAGTAGAAATAAGCCCAGTAGAAATAAGTTTGGTAGGTTTGGAAATTCAACATGCCCAAGCACCAGCTATGTGGTGCTGGGTTTCACTTCTCTGAGCAGCAGTTCCCATATCACCAGGGTGCATAAATGAATAAACACCTTGTATGGGTTTTGTGCACTTTAAATATAATATAGTCTGCAGAGCTTCTGGTCTGTTCTTGGCACCCAGGAGCTGACCTGCTGTTTCCTCATAGGGTGATTTTGTGTAAATTAGAAAAAAGGATCTCTTCCTTTGAGTGGCTAAGTTGGCAACTGGAACGTGGGCTGAATCCCACCCTTTATATTTCCTCTCTGCTGGGGGATCTTGTTTGATGCACAACCAGTATCGGAACACATGGAGGCACTGAAAAGTTGACATTTATTAACTGACCATTATTACAATGTTGCTGCAGATCACCTATATCCAAGTTCATTTCCTTCAGCAAAACAGCAAGGATACGTATATGAAACTTGTAACAAGTATTATTTTCCACTGTACAGATTGTTTCATAAAAAAGAAACAGTAAGGTTGAAAGCAAAAGTGTCATCAAGTTTTTCAGTTGGAGGTAAAAATCAATGCAATTTGCAGTATTTTCAATATCACCAATTACATCTTATTGGTCATAATTGAAAGTAGTTTGCACTTACCTATTATACATTATTATTTTAATCTGATGCTTAGCTACTTGGCATCCTAAGCACTGAAATAGAAGCAGATTAAAATTACTGTAAAATACATCCCTGTGTTCTTAAAGATTGGCTACCAGCTAGAAAGCAGTTGACCTATCTATAATGCACAGGACATAATTCATATTAACATTGCAGGAAACAAATGACTCGCCTAATTTCATGTACATGGAGAGTTAAGGTTTCTGATAGATTTATGAGATTCAACATGCTGACACTTTTCATTCACTGACCTTTTTTTTTTTTTTACCCACTTCCTACTGAGGACAGGAAGATAAGTTAATCTTCAAGCCCTTTGGATAATCTTTCCCTGGGTCTCAGCTGACCTTAAATCTATCAGAGAGGAATTTGTTCAATCTGACTTGATGCCACAAATGGTAGCAGTCTGAGGCCCTGGGCTAAAGCAGCTCTAAAAGCGATACAAACCTCTTCAAGTGGCATTTGCAGTTTTGACGACAATGTACATTACAAATTGAATTGAATTGAAACTCAAACATTGTTTGAGTTTCCCCTGTTATAGGTTGACAGGCATTTGACAGACAACTCTGGATCACTGAGGACATTGCTCAGCCACACAATGACCTCTTCTGACATTTTTCGGGGGCTGGGGGTGATGGGAATGGGAACATGAACTCAGAACCACATGATTCTCTCACCTCCAGAACAAGGTGGGATAGTAATTGAGTAAAAGAAGCCCTCAAGTAAATGCTGAGAATTTAGAAATATTCTTCGGAAGAAAAGGCAGGGACCACATATTTGTGCACAGAGTTGGCTACTACCAGCTCTGTGTGTTGACACATGCTAGAGAGGAGAGGTTGAGGAAGGCTTCAATCCAACACCTGTCCTTGAATAATAAAGACCATAAGAAAGCCAAGAATGGCAACGCTTCTGCAAACTGAGTTCTCTAGGGTTTGTTTCCATCTGTCTGCCTCATAGAGCAGTGTGTCAGTACTCAACTCTGAACAAGAAAAAGAGTGAAGAATTTTCCATGTGGTAAGTCTAAAAGTGCTCAGTACACAGATAATCAAAAAAGAGGTCTTCCCTCCTTCTTCACAAAGGACACCCTGATCCTCTCCTACTAGCATTGAAGAAGGAAAGAGTTAACTATGCTGAAAGAGAAGCTGCAACTGCAGATTCCCTGAGTCTGTGACAGAAACCTGCACCCTCAGCAGCAGCTAGTGTTCAGGAATCCCCTGCACCCTCTGTCAACTCCAGAAGCCAGATCAATACCCGTATCCATTGGATGGAAATGTCATCTTGGCAATGAGAGGGATCCCAGCCAATTCTCTATCAGGGCCACCTTCACCTATAGGCAGGATGAGTGTTCCCTTGGACTGACCATCACATGTGCTCTCCAACCAGGTAGATTTCAGTACTAAGTGGAGTATGTAGTATAAAAAGGCAAAGAGACCAGAGTTTGAGGTATTTTGGGAAGAGCTTAGTATCATGTCTGAAACCTAGTAACCCTACTTAAAGAAGAAGACATTGCTTTTACTTAAAACTCTACCAACAGAGAAGCATTTCTTTAAGTTAAACACCCCCACTCCTGCCCACTGCACCTCCATGCACAGTCATTGATGCCAATTTCCCTGATAGATGTACTCATTAAGTTACCAGCATCAAGTATAAATCTGTATCACCGATGACCTTCCTAGGGAGCTTTTCTAGGGAAGCTACAACAGCCAGACATAAGAAGGCAGAGAAAGGAGCAAACAAATAAGTTCCAGTGTCCCAAATCTCAGTGAAATTTGTATTATTTAGAGAAAAACAGGCATCCACTTGGTAGATACCACTTAACCATCACAAACATGTTATTAAACAACAATACTTTAAAGACCACTTAAGGCTGGGTGCGGTGGCTCATGCCTGTAATGGCAGCACTTTGGGGGGCCGAGGCTGGTGGATCATGAGGTCAGGAGACTGAGACCATACTGCTAACACAGTGAAACCCCTTCTCTACTAAAAATACAAAAAATTAGCTGGGTGTGGTGGCGGGCAACTGTAGTCCCAGCTACTCGGGAGGCTAAGGCAGGAGAGTGGCGTTAACCTGGGAGGCGGAGCTTACAGTGAGTCTAGATGGCACCACTGCACTCCAGCCTGGGCGACAGAGTGAGACTCCGTCTAAAAACAAAAGAAAACAAAACAAAAAACAAAACAGACCACTTAAATCCTGTTAGGGTAGGGAGTAGAAAGTCTTAAATTATAAAATGAAGAAAACTAAGACTTCTATACTGAACAGGAAAACCACAATGCTGAGAAAGTGGCAATCATCCTTACAAAAATAAAAATGAGATAGAAAAGTAAATGGGAAAGCAGAGAAGAATCTAATGCCAGGGTAATTCTTTGGCTTCTAACTGAGCATGAGAAAAATCTGAGGCACAAAGCAGACCATAGGTGATACTAAACTATCACTGCCTGTTTTCAAAAAGCAGCATGAAATTTTTCTACTCCCTGACATTGAGATTCAAGTGATTTGAGTGAAATATAAGGTTCAACACTGGTTTAGTTTCACTTGCCTGGGTCTGAGTACTAGAATGGGACTTCCTAGATAAGGGGTCATGGGCAAGTCACTTGAACTAAGTTTTAGTTTCCTCCACTCTAAAATGGAAATTATATGCGTAATTAACTGAAAAAGCTTTATGAGAAGTAAGCAAGATGGCATATGGAGAGGACTTACAAAAGGGCTTCGGAAATATTTATTATTATTATACAATAATACATGATATTTTGTGACGGTTAATACTGAGTGTCAAATTGATTTGATTGTAGAATGCCAAGTATTGATCCTGGGTGTGTCTGTAAGGGTGTTGTCAAAGGTGATTAACATTTGAGTCAGTGGGCTGGGAAAGGCAGACCACCCTTAATCTGGGTGGGCACCATCTAATCAGCTGCCAGCTCAGCTAGAATATAACCCAGGCAGAAAAAAAACATGAAAAGACTAGACTGGCCTAGCCTCCCAGCCTACATCTTTCTCCAGTGCTAGATGCTTCCTGCCCTCAAACATCAGACTCCAAGTTCACTGACTCTCCTTCCTTCTCAGCTTGCAGACAGCCTGTTGTGGGACCTTGTGATCATGTGAGTTAATACTTAATAAACTCCCCTTTATACACATACACACACACACACACACACACACACACACATATATATATCCTGTTAGTTCTGTCCCTCTAGATAACCCTAATACAGATTTTGGTACCAGGAGTGGTTCCAGAGGAACAGAATATTAAGGATGAATTTCTTTTGTTGATCTGGGGGTTTTTGGAGTTGGCTGCTTAATATAATTAGACCCAAAAATGCTAAAGACTTTACTTCTAATAGTATGGAGAACACTGATAGTCCTTGGCATGAACTGTTTAGAGAGTTATGCAAAATAAATGCATTTGACATTCCTGATTCACTGCTTATGAGAGTCAAAGAGTTGAATGAATCTGTATGTAATACCTAGGACTATATGTGGAGAACCAAGGAACACAATGAAGTTGGTTGGTTGCTCCTAAGTTCAGTGGACAAAGTGAAGAAAGAAAATGATGAACTCAGGGATTCTAACTCCCGGCTTCAGAAGCAGATACTGAGTCTCAAATCTGGTAAGATTGCCCTGAGCGAGCATTTTTATCTCCAGTAGAGAAAGAGCCGAAACCATGGAAAAACAGATGCAAGCTCTTATCTTTCAAGTAGCTGACCTGCAACAAAAGGTACATGCACAGCCTCACCAGGTGTCTGCTGTTAAAGTGAGGGCACTGATTGGAAAAGAATGGGACCCTGCAACTTGGAATGGGGACATGTGGGAAGGACCCCGATGAAGCTGGAGACACTGAATTTGTTAACTCTGATGAACCTTTTTTGCCAGAAGAAACAGCTTCCCCATCTCCGGTACTGGCAACATCCCCACCTCAATCCATGCTGTCATCAGTGTTTCCACCTTTGTCTGAGAGACAAACCCTGCACAGCCTGAGGCAATGGCGATGGCCTTCCCTGAGGCAGTTGCAGGGCAAGATAATGTTGATTCTCCTCAGGAGCCACACCCAACACCCCTGTTTAATTTAAACCTATAACTAGACTAAAGTTGAGGCAGGCCCCTAGAGGTGAGGTTGAGAGTGTGACCCATGAGGAGGTGTGCTACACTTGAAAAGAACTGCTTGAGTTTTCTAATGTATAGTAACAGAAATCTGGCCTGGGAATTTTGAGTTTTCTAATTTATATTAACAGAACTGGCATGGGAATGGACATTAAGGTTATGGGATAACTGTGGAAGGAACATAGAGTTGGATCAGGCTGAATTTATTGATTTGGGCTCACTCAGTATGACTGACTCTGCATTTAGTGTTGCAGCTCAGGGAGTTAAAAAGGATTCTAATAGTTTATTTGCTTGGTTAGCTGAAATATGGATTAAAAGACGGCCCACTGTGAGGAAGCTGGAAATGCCTGATCTCCCCGGGTTTAATGTAGAGAAAGGGATCCAAAGGCTTAGGGAGATTGAGATGGTGGAGTGGATTAGTCACTTCAGACTTACTCACCCCAGCTGGGAGGGTCCAGAAGACATAACTTTGATCAATATCTTGTGAAATAGATTTGTGAAGGCATCATCTGCATCTTTGAAGAGGCCTGTAATTGCTTTTCTCTGTATGCCAGGTCTAACAGTGGGAACCTCAGTCACTCAACTACAAAATTTAAATACAATGGAAATAATTGAATCCTGAGGTGGCAGGGGCCAAGTGGGGGCACTCAACCATCAAAGGAAAAGGGGGTGTAGCTACTGTAATGGACAACAGTGGCAAAGAAGCAATCAGAACAGTCTGATTTGTGCAGAGCTCTGGCATTGGCTAATCACGGTGTTCCTAGAAGTGAAATTGATAGGAAGCCTTCTGCATTCCTACTTAATTTATATAGGCAGAAAACTTTTGGGTCGAATGAACAAAAGACTAATTTGAATTATAAAAACAGAGAATCACAGCCCCTCAATCAATTTCCAGACTCGAGCCAGTTTACAGACCCAGAACCCCTTGAATGAAGGGGATGCTGGGTCCCCTTGAGGAAGAACTCCACTACATTACCAAAAATTTATGCTGTTAATCTTTCTTACATTTTTCCCCAAGGATACCTCCAGCTTTTTACCAGGGTAACTGTGCACTGGGGAAAGGGAAATGATCAGACATTTCGGGGAGTAGTGGACACTGGCTCTGAGCTGACACTGATTCCAGGGAACTCAAAACATCATTGTGGTTCCCCAGTTAAAATAGGGGCTTGTGGAGGTCAGGTAATTAATGCAGTTTTAACTTAAGTCTGACTTACAATGGGTCCAGTGGGTCCCCATACTCATCCTGTGGTCATTTCCCCAGTGCAAGAATGCATAATTGGCATAGACATACTTAGCAGCTGACAAAACCCCCACATTGGTTCCCTGACTGGTAGGGTGAGGGCTATTATGGTGGGAAAGGCCAAATGGAAGCCATTAGAGCTGTCTCTACCTAGAAAAATTGTAAATCAAAAGCAATATCGCACCTCTGGAGGGATTGCGGAGATTAGTGTCACCATGAAGGACTTGAAAGATGCACGGGAGGTGATTCCCACTACATCCCTGTTCAACTCTCCCATATGACCTACTGGGGTGCTTACTGAAGACTAAGGGAATACAGAATGGGTAGTAGAAGAAGGTAGTCATCGATACCAGCTATGACCACGTGACCAGCTGTAGAAATAAGGACTGTAATTGTCATGAGTGTTTCCTCCTTCTTTTGTTAAAAACATGTTTGTGCCTGTATACACTTGTACTAAGAAAATATCTTCATTTCCTTTTTCCTTTATCATGTGACCTAAGATTTATCAAATTCATATTAGCATTTAAGTATTGTTAACTTTATGTAATAGTGTTTGGGCTGGGTATTGGTGTGTTTCTGGTTGTAGGAAAGATAGCTGTATTATGTTAGGCATAATTATGACCTCATTATTGTCTTTATTTGAAGATTATATATAATCTCAGGAGATGTGTATGGGTTCAAGTTGACAAGGGGTGGACTTGTGATGGTTAATACTGAGTGTCAACTTGATTGAAGGATGCAAAGTATTGACCCTGGTTGTGTTTGTGAGGGCATTGCCAAAGGATATTAACATTTGAGTCAGTGGGTTGGGAAAGGCAGACTCACTCTTAAACCGGGTGGACACCATCTGTGTTAGTCTGTTTTCATGCTGCTGATAAAGACATATCCATGACTGGGCAATTTACAAAGAAAGAGGTATAACTGGACTTACAGTCCCACCTGGCTGGCGAGGCCTCACAATCATGGTGGAAGGCAGGGAGAAGCAAGTTACATTTTATGTGGATGATGGCAGGCAAAGAGAGAGAGCTTCCCATTTTAGGGAATCTCCCATTTTGAAGACCATCAGATCTCATGAGACTCATTCACTACCATGAGAAAAGCACAGGAAAGACCCATCCCCCCTAATTCAATCACCTCCCACCGAGTTCCTCCCATGGCATGTGGGAATTGTAGGAGTTACAATTCAAGATGAGATTTTGGTGGGGATATAGCCAAACCATATCTCTATCTAATCAGCTGACAATGTGGCTAGAATATAATGCAAGCAGAAAAAAATGTGAAAAGACTAGACTGGCCTAGCCTCCCAGCCTACATCTTTCTCCTGCACTGGGTGCTTCCTGCCTCTGAATATTGGGCTCCAAGTTCTTCAGGTTTGGGACTTAGACCAGCTCCCCTTCCTCCTCAGCTTGCAGATGGCCTACTGTGGGACCTAGTGACCATGTAAGTTAATACTTAATAAACTCCCCTTTATACATATACGTATCTATCCTATTAGTTCTGTTCCTCTAGAGAACCCTGAATAATACAATATTATATAATATAATCATATACAATCATCACATATAATATATCATGGTAATATATCATCATCATCACCACTATCACCGCTTAACATACAGAAACTATGAGAGGCATAGATGGCCTCACAATATAAAGGTGTGAAAAAGCACCACATGCTACCCTGCATTTCCCTAAATCACCATAAGCTGAGAGTTGGTCAAGTGGAACATGAGGACCTCAAGAAAAGTCTAACCCTATTTAAAGGCATTGAAAGGCTATGAAATTTTGCCGTCAGAAACAGAGAACTCTCAATTGAGAAGCTGCCCCAAATAGAGACCCCTTAATAAATCAAATAACACAAGGGCATCACTCAAATCTCTATCAACAAAAGATGAATGATCTAGGGTCCCTGATCCCAAGTGGCCTACCCCTGGCTTTGTGGTCAGGGAGACTTGGGTTTAGAATGCTCAGCACAGGAGGCAAAGGCTCTGTGAATAAATGAGGTCCCAAATCGCATAGGGCAGGCAGCTGCAGGCTTTCATGAGCATTAATTTTGCTTAATATTACAAATTTTAAATGCTACAAATACAAGCATGACAAATAGAAATGCACAAAGTGATCATTAGGATCTTAATGTGTGTGCGAATTTGCAGTCAGAATAGGCACACTGCAAACAAAGCACTATATAAATGCTAAATACTTCACCATTTGCTACTACAATAATGTGTCATATGGCTGAAGTTTTTAAGTACTTTATGTTCTCTGCTGGTATGAAGTCATTAATCCCATTTATACAATTAATAAGGAAACCATGGATCCAAATTAGGGATCAGAGAAAAAAAACTGGAATTAAAGACAAATGATGGGTCATTTTTCTCTAAAGCTGTAATGATGCTTTGCTAAATAACACATTTTCCCCTGAACCCTATTTTAAACACTGCACAATCCACCATGAAAAAAAAAACCTAATTACTATCACTACATCAATGATTTTGAGTTGGACAACCACATATTTCTACGACCCGACCCAGAATGAACTTGGGTCCTTTAAAAGCCTCCACTAACGCATTCATGTTTCCATCAGCCCCAACAGGCTGAGTCAGCTTTTCTCCAAGTGCAGATGAAATAGGTTAAAAAGTTAGAGCGTCCACTTTGCAGGGTTGCCTATTTTAAAATTCCAACCCTCTTTCACCAGGGAAAATAGTATATCCTAATTCATGATTTAATGAGTGAGCTCTGGAGTCACACAGACCTGGTTTGAACACAAGCTCTGTTGCAGGTTGAACAACCCTCTTGCAGGTTACTTGGTATCTTTGAGTCTAGTGTCTTTATCTTTAAAATGGGTGTAATGTATGACCTGCTTTTAGGGTTAGTATCACAAATACTTATTTTTTAGTAATAAATGAGCAAAGTCAGAATGAGAAGAAAAGAAAAAAATGAAAAGAAAGAAAAGTCAAGCTACATCTTTTCAGTGAAAGATTTGAAATAGAACAGATGGAAGAATTCTTTCCATAGTCAGAGTCTGAGTTCTCCTTCTTGAAGTTAAACCAAATTCCTTAATCAAGAAAAAAATGTAAAATTGAAAGAGTCGGAAGCTTCATCCTAGGAGCCTGAGTCCCAGAGGACATCAGAGCAACAATTTGTATGATGTTGGTATTTTGATGTTGCTGGTGGTAGTGTTTCTCCCTCCTCCTCTTTCTCCTCCTCCTCGTTGTTTTTCTTTCTCTTCTTCCTTTCTCTCTCTCTCTCTCTCGCCCCCTCTCTCATTCTCTGCTTATAAAACACGAATTTCCCTAGAGAAAGAAATGGAGAATTGAAACCTTGGCTTTACACTCCGGCTGAAAAAAGTCTTAAACTGGAAGTATGTTAGAGAAAACCTTTGGCCTTTCTGTGCAATTAAAAGCCTTAATTAGAGGAGGAAGTTACAGTAAAGGAGTATAATGCAACCTAAGTTACTTTTATTAACCACTGTGGCCACACGTATCCTCAGACCCATTAGGGAAAGTCCTCAGTTCACTCCAATTTGGTTCTACTGGGATCACTTCTCACCTAGACAGTAGAAACCTAGAGAAAGAGATTAGATAGATGGATGGATAGGTAGATAGACAGATAAATATGGAGATGGAAATTATCTATCTATCTATCAGATAAAAATAAACTAAAATGAAATTAAAGAAAATTTTGAACTTCAGGTAAATGCTTCTTTACCACGGGAGGATGAGTTCCTGTTCTCAAACTCTCCAGGGCCCTACGTCCCCTGATACGCATGCTGACATAACCCCAGTTCATGATTGGTGGTATCACTGGATTGAAGAAATTGGCCTTTAGCTAAAGGAAGGCAAGGTAGCCTTGGTGCTGATATGGAAAGGACACAAAAGATGCTTTCCTGCCTCAAGTATTCCCTCTATAATACTCCTGGTGAGGTTTCTAATTTCCACTTTTGGTCACCAGCTGTGGAAAGACTTCTCCAAGTGAATGGAGCACTTGGCTCCAAATCAGGAGACTCGTTCCTTGTCCTTGTCCAGGCCTGCAACAATTGGAATGCTTCTTACTCTTCTGCTTTCTCTCGGAGGGTTGATGTGAACATCAAAAGAAAGACTAAATGGAAGAAGCTTTGTAGCGAGTGAAGTCTGATATTAGTGCAGGGTACAGTTGAAATAGGTTTATCTAAGTATAATGACAACATGCCTTGCTTTTCCTGAGACAATCCCAGTTTATTCCTTCTGCCCCAGCATAATTAGTAATACCCATTTAACTTTCAGAGAAAATACATTGTGGTAAGTCTACCATTAAGTCACTACTTGTATTTAGGACTTTTGCCCAAATTAGACAGCAGGAAAAAAGAGCAAAAGGATAGATAGAATTGTATGTGCCCTGTCTCCGTGACATTGGCCAAATTATTTGTATTCCAGAAACCTCAGTTTATATATTTTTTAAATGAGGATACTTGTAGAAACTATCTCATAATACATATAATATTATAAATTTAAATTAAATTCATAAATATTAATTGCAACTCCCTAAAAAATGTAGCAAAGAGTCTGACATATCATAAAACTCAATGTATATTAGCTTACAAAATAAAATTACAAAACAAGATGGTAGGTTTTCATAATTAGAGAATGTAATGGAAAATACTGGATGGGGTACTTCCTGGGATGGATAGGCCAGAATGGGTAGGATAGGCCAGAATTGCAGGATGGGATGATGCCAGTCTTGGAGAGAAACGAAAGTCTGGTCCTCACACCTATTACTCTCCAGTGGGGCCCGTGGGGTTAGTGATTTTGTAGCAGTTTGTTGTTCAAAGTGCCCTTCCACTTCCCAGGCTTTGTACTGCCCCAGATCTAAAAGGTCTAACTGTAAGATTTATACAGCAGAAATAGCCATTTCTCAAAAAAGGCAAAAAAGCTTGGTTTCTCCAGATGTTCACTGTTTGACATCCTTCTTCAGACAAATATAATCCAAGGAATTTGCAGAAAACTTGCAGCCCTGGAATTTGGTTTGCCTCAGCGAATATTCAGTAAACTCTTCCTAGGGCAGAAAATCTGCTGTGTGATATGGTATTGTTGTATATTTTGCCGTGCGTCGTGCCTTCTTCTGTTGAGTTCTCAGCTTGAATGATTCAGACCTCAGGGCTAAAGAGGAGATAAAAAATTTGCCTCCACCACCATCTATTTTTTTTCTATATATTTCTGTCCTACTGGCTTCTCCCATCCTACAGATAGGAGGAAAGATGATCTGTTTCCCAGCCATGATCATCAAAAGACGGTGAGGAAACTATTTAAATTGTAGTTAAGGGTTTTTAATAATAAGACTCACACTCAGACATGAAAGACAACTAACATTGTCATATATGCTTTTCTTAAAAGTACAAATTTAAAACTGGATGTAGAATTGCAAAGGTACTTACATCTGGCAGGAGGTTTTGCATAGACCCAGCTGCCAGAGTATGAGTCTAATGAGACAGAACACCATGCAACCCATCAGGTAAAGCAAATTTATTACTCAAATACAGAATGCAGGGATAAACAGAAGCCTAGGACTCATTTTGAGCCAGTCCTTGAAGGCTGAGGAAAGCCTCACAGGTCAATTAGAGTCTTGTCTCCATGTGCCCCTTTTTACACAGAATCCTAGGGACCTTAAAAGCATTCTGCTTTAGGTTTTATACCCTGAGTGGAAATTGGATCACTGAGTAAACATGATGTAGAACAACTTGTTCTAGAAGGAAGGAGATCATACCCTGTATTGTTCTGGAAATTTCCTCCATATCTCAGGATGTTGCGTTCTTGGTAGAATCTGCCCAAAGATTGCAAGCAAGGGGGGAATAAATGCATTGGCCAAGACCATCTGGGGACTTTTCTTCCTGCAAAAATGATTAGAATGGACTTCATACTAAGGTATATGATTACAGTCTGAAGAAGATATGAGTAAGATTTAGAAAAAGGACTAGATGATTAAATGCATTTTTTCTTGTAATTTATGCATGTTCACATTGATATTTTCTCTCTTTCCTTCTCTCTGTCTCTGTCCCTGTCCCTCTCTCTTTCTCACTCTCTCTAAACACACATACACACACCCAGAAAGAACAGAATTTGCATTCTTTGGCCTCTTTATCTCCATTTGCCAGTGTTTTTTATATGTGGCTCTGGAACGCTGGAGTAAAAATCATTTGGGATGTTCATTTGCAATAACAAAAAAATTCTGAGACTGCAACACAGATCAATCTTGGGTAGGAGAAGAAAAGTGGGAATTGATACTTAAAATAATACTTCAAGTGATTCTTATGCAGATGGTCCACAGATCAAACTTTGAAAAATAATGTGAAACACTACTATTCTTCTTGTGTCATCTTTAGGAAGCAGCAAGATTAAAAGTTGTCTAGGAAGGATGGTTTAACATGTATAGATCATGTGTTGCTGATGTTTCTGGTGTGTTGGCTTTAGAAAACTTTAGTACATTTCTTAGTGCATTGACTTTTAAAAATTGGCAATTGAAAACACTTTCTCTGATCTTTTGAGATGTAAATCTTCTCCCAGACATTTGTCAGTTTTACAACCCAGGAATATCTTTCTCAAAGACAGGAGAGCCAACTTTTGATATTTAGTCATCAGGAAAGACAGCACCCCTACCTCCCAGTCTCTGTGGTAGGGTAAGAACCTAACTTCCATATGTTCCAATTAGCAAATCCCCATATGACCTCACTTTTACAAATCTCCCCACTAATATCCTCCACTACTTTTCCACAATTCACCCCCGTGCATTGTGGAAAAGTACTGCCTCTTGCTTCAGTGAACCAAGTTCAATCTTTCTCTCTTATTGCAATAGTCTCTCTCCTTATTGCCATAAAGTCTTGAATAAAGCCTTCCTTACCTGTTTAACTCTGTCTGGTACCATTTTTCTTTGTCATCTAACTTTAAAATGATTAAGATATAAGCCTATGTTTCTTTTCATGTAAACATAAGATGTAAAGTGTCAAGAATCTCAAACCATTAGTCAAAGTTCCAGGTTCCAGCTGTAACATTTGCCTAATAATTTCCTGGAAAGTTTTTTTATTTTTTCACCATCTGAAAAATAAAAATAAAGCCTGATTTGACAAGGATCCGATCAGACTCCACTTTTCCCAACACGATTTAACCTTATAAATACTTGCTAAATATCTGGCTTCCATTACATTGTTAGCTCAATGAGGGCAAAGATAATGTCTACCTTATTCATTCCTGAGTCCCCAGTGCCCAGTATAGAACTTGGCATTTAAAACGTGCTCATATAAGTCCGTTATCTCACTGCTAGAAAGAAAAACCTGAGACTAGGTAATTTATAAAGAAAAGAGGTTTAATTGGCTCATGGATCGGCAAGCTATACAAGAAGCATAATGCTCGCATTTGCTCAGCTTCTAGGGAGGCCTCAGGAAACTTACAATCACGGAGGAAGGCAAAGAGGGAGTTGGCACTCCACATGGCTGGAGGAGGAGGATGAGAGACAGAGACAGAGGAGGTATCACACACTTTTAAACAACCAGACCTAGTGAGAACTCACTATCACAATAACAGTACCGGGGATGATGCTAAACCATTCCTGAGAAACAACCCCATGATCCACTCACCTCCCACCAGGCCCTGCCTTTAACACTGGGGATTACAATTCAACTTCAGATTTAGGTGGGAACACAGATCTAAATCATATCAGTTCTCAACAGGTATTTGAAAGAAATGAATAAAGTTAAATAACATATAATATAAACAACATGGGAAGAAATGCAAGAAAAAACACTAAAATTTTATTGACCTTCACTCTGGGCTCAAATTAATGGAAAGTTCAAATAGTCAATGAAGATAACATCAGAAAACCTGGTTTTTAATTCTGGCTTTGGCATTGACTGGAGTTATTGTAACACTCTGTTTTCACACTGCTGATAAAGACATACTGGAGACTGGGAAGAAAAAGGGGTTTACTAGGACTTACAGTTCCACATAGCTGGGAAGGCCTCAGAATCATGGCAGAAGGTAAAAGGTGCTTCTTATATGGTGGCAGCAAGAGAGAATGAGAAAGAAGCAAAAGTGGAAACCCCTGATAAACCTATCAGTTCTTGTGAGACTTATTCACTATCATGAGAATAACACAGGAAGACCAGCTCTCATGATGGAATTACCTTCCCCTGCGTCCCTCCCACAACACGTGGGAATTCTGGAAGACACAGTTCAAGTTGAGATTTTTGGTGGGGACACAGCTAAACCGTATCAGTTATCATTTTAATTATTAAATTTCCTTGATTCTCAAGTTCATCACTATAAATACCAGAGACAGAGTAAATGATTACTGAAATTCCTTGCTGAATTAACCTCATAGACTCCAGGATGATCACTGATCCTCCTTCCAGCTATAACCATTTCATAGATCAAAACCTGACACACAATGATTGCTCCAGAGTTGCAGAACATGTTTGTAAATCCTGATACTTAAGACCATTATTCCCCTCCTCTCCTTTCCTATTTTTCCTTTCATCCTTTCATGTATTCATATAGTTATTAAATGCTTGCCCTAAAGAAAATCAAAAATATTTTATATATGTATCTCGAATTAGGCAACCACATCTTGGCTGATTTCTCTATCTCTGATAAGATTCAAATTCTAGTCATGCACTTGTTTCATTAAGTGGTTAAAAATATCTTTTTTGACCTTGATGCATTATGTAAATGGCTAATTTGCCTTGAAGCATAGTCTCCTGGGAATAGAACTTTGATCTCCATGAGGTAGCCAAATACACATTAGGGAAGAACTTGCCTCATACCCATTCCACCCTGAATCTTTTGACTTTCAAGAAGGGTTAATGTGCTTGTGTTTACTTGCTGACAGATTTCCTTGCTTTCACCTATAAATCTATAGCATCTATATCAGATTGACTTCCATAATGTAGAAGAGCAAAACTGATATTCCTCTGTCCACATATTCATTGTCTCTCTTTTTCTCTTTCTCATTATTTTAGATCTGTAGGTATCATAGTTTATTCAGTGGTTCACAGTCATTAGCACAACAATGATCAAATAGAAAGACCCCAGGCATCAACCTGACAAGAGCAAGAAAACAGATGACTCTTGGAACTCATTTGTAATACAATAGTATTCCAGCAAGCTCTAAATTTTTGACCTTAAGCAAGAGAAAGCTGATGACTTTAATAGAGTTTTCTTTATAAACCTTTTTCTTTCAGCTTCAAAACTGCTGACTTTTTTAAGCCCTGCTTTTCTTATGATTGCTTTCAAAAGCATATTTCTGTTTTAAAGCTAGAGTTCACTTCAATAATGCTTGGTTAATTGTACGGGCATTCACACTTGGTGGCAAGCCAGAGGCCTTCCTTGACAAGATAAAATAGAGAGAGCCCTAGGATACTTGCTCCCTTTCTACCCACAGAACACACACATCCTAAATATGAGAAAGTATTCCTTTGGTTCTAATTGTCTAAAAAGTTACCTAATATTAACAATATTTAGTTACACAGCCCAAGATTTAAGGCATTTACGATATGGGGGTGGGGGTGGAAAAGTGCTGGATAGAGAAGGGCAGGGTTCCTGGCCAGGGCTCCACTCTTGGGCCTGGGCCTATGGATTTAAGTGAGAACAGGCACTCCTGTTTTCACACCCAAATGTTGCATTTTCCAAGATCGTACTGGCTTGCCATGCCCCCCGATCCTGTGCCCATATTAACCCAAGACCTGAGTGGGCACACACACAAGTGGCTGAACGTTCAGACCAGCAGACAAGCAATGGCAGAACAATGTAGCAGAAAAAGGGAGAAGAGAAGCCTGCATGTGATCTGATTCTTTCAGGACACTGGGCAAGAGCTCGGGATACAAAAGGCTGTCACACTGGCCTTCTGCCCTTGTGATAAAGCAGAGGGTCCATTGAGCTGATTAACACATAAGCCATCTGCAGATGGCAAATCTGAAAGAACTTTGTAACACACACCCACTTGGGCTTCAGAAGTCACAGACACCCACTCCTAGACACTGCCGTGGAGCTGGAGACCAAAAGTGCTCACCCTAATCTCTGCTCCTGCCTGTCTAAATGCTCCTCCTAGGGGCAACCAAGCAGGTGATCCACACTCACGTCGCACCATCCTGTAAGGGTAATCAGGGAACTCTCCCATTTCATTTCCGTTAAGATGGATCTGGATTGAAGCACCACCAGTAATAGACAGTAGTAGTGAAGTTTTAGGCAAATTACTTACTTTCTCTAAGCCTCAGTTTCTCTGTATCTCAGCATTATTTATAAGAGTTCCCATGTCATAGGATTGTGGTGGGAATTAAATACGGTGCTTGTAAAGAAATTTAGAGATCCTGGTACGTGACATGTACTTAGTAAGTGATGGTGGTGAAAATGCGTGCTCTTGTTTTGCAGCTAAATCTCATTGCTGAGTAAACAAGATGTCTTTAGTTGGCTGAAGAAATTAACCTGACCAATGGCATAGGAAATCCTGCAGTTTGAGCCATGGTAAGTGCTTCTCACTATCTTATGCATTCTTTCTCCTTTTTTGTTAGACTAACGTAAAACCAGGCTTTCTATATCCCTGGTATCTCTATATCCCAGCCAGGGAGTACCGCATTTGCTTTCTAACACCCTGTCTTCCATAACTATCACACAGTGGTCTTCTCTCACTTCTTTCTTCCAGGCTCATGATTCATTCAAAAACAGCCTTTTTCTAGCAGCTTCCCATATTTTCCAGAGTTGTTGACAATGAAACTAAGGAGAAAACTTAAAAAAAAACTTTAAACATGGTCTCATACAAATAAATTACTGGAATTGCAAACTTAGAAGTATCAAGCTGTCACGTAATGAAGAGAAGCCTGATACTCTTTGTCCCAAGATATTTTTCTAGAAATGTCATTTATGTCATTCTCAGCAATCAAAGCTGGCATCAAGATCCAGAGTAGGAGAATGGGTCAAAGATAGAGAGCTAGAACTTATTTGACAGCATTGAGAGCTCAATTAATATGGACCCCTCTCTTCACTTGTGGCAGTACCAAAAGTAACTCAATAATACTGCTCCCCCCTTATGGACATATCCCAGGTGGATAGGGTGAGTAATTATAGCACTGTAAAGCTTTTCTAGAGAAAACTTTCTCTGGACTTCAATCACTTACATCTCCAGCTTCAACAATGAATGATTTTTCTGCTTCTGTGACTTGATTCTGACCCTAATACCTTCTTTATTCCTAAATCTTTTGTTGTTGTTGTTGTGGTGGTGGTGGTTTTTGAGACGGAGTCTCGCTCTGCCACCCAGGCTGGAGTGCAGTGGCGCGATCTCGGCTCAATGCAAGCTCCGCCTTCCGGGTTCACGTCATTCTCCTGCCTCAGCCTCCCAAGTAGCTGGGACTACAGGCGCCGGCTACCATGCCCGGCTAATTTTTTGTATTTTTAGTAGAGACGGGGTTTCACCGTGTTAGCCAGGATGGTCTCGATCTCCTGACCTCGTGATCCGCCCGCCTCGGCCTCCCAAAGTGCTGGGATTACAGGCGTGAGCCACCGCGCCCGGCCCCTAAATCTTTTTTATTTCAATATAGAAATCACCATTCCACACAGAAATTTACACTCTTGTGTATAGAGATGTACTTAGCTTGATTGTTGTTAGGTTACTTTCTTGTTTAAATTGTCTTTATTATGGTAAAACAGATGTAGAATTTACACTCAACTGTTTTTAAGTTTACAGTTCAGTGATATTAAATACATTTGTATTGTTGGACAATGATCACCACCATCTATCACCAAAACACTTCAGCTTGCAAAACTGAAACCCTATACCCATTAAACAATAAATCCCCTTTCCTCCTTCCCCTAGTTTCTGACAACCACAATTCTATTTTCTGAAGTTTGTGTTACATTTAGAAGACTGCATTCAATTTCAACATAATAATAATGTTTGAATATCAAAAGCTACCATTAACAAAGTAAAAATATGAGTAGCAAAATGGAAATAAAATTAAAACTCATATTACAAGCAAAGGGCTACTTTCTCTAGTATGGAAAGAACCCCTATAAGCCCATAAGAAAAATAAACAACAAAGATCCAGTGAAAAGGGATTAACATTATTATTAAATTTATCAGAAACAGAATTAAAATGGCATTAAACTGAAAAAATGCTTACTGTCACAGAAAACAAAATACATTCAAAATAAAATTATACTAAGACGATTTTCTATTTATAAGGTTATCAAGTTTAAAAAATTATGCTACATGTCAAGGCTCTGGAGAAAGAGGCAATTAATTACATTGGTGGTAGAAGTGTGTATTCATACTATTTTTATTAAGCACAATATGGCAACCATATTAAAATTAAATGCACACAACTTTTTAGGAAGTAAATTTGATTCTGTGAATTTAAACTAACAATATTTTCCAGTAGGTGTGAAATGATATAAATGTAAGGGTATTTATTGCATTGCCACTTGTAAAAACAAAACTTTGGGCCAAGCGCGGTGGCTCACCTGTAATCCCAGCACTTTGGGAGGCCGAGGCAGGTGGATCACGAGGTCAAGAGATCCAGACCATCCTGGCCAGCATGGTGAAACCCCATCTCTACTAAAAATACAAAAATTAGCTGGGCGTGGCGGTGCGCACCTGTAGTCCCAGCTACTCGGGAGGCTGAGGCAGGAGAATCACTTGAACCCAGGATGCAGAGGTTGCAGTGAGCCAAGATGGTGCCACTGCACTCCAGCCTGGTGACAGAGAGATACTCTGTCTCAAAGAAAAAAAAAAAAAAAAAAACCTTGACAAAAAACAAATGTCGATGATTTGTAGACTGATTCATCAGCTCATGTTACATTCAACAAGAGCAGACGTATAAAAAAGAATGAGGAATCTCTTCATGAACTGATTGAAATAATCTCCAAAATTTATTTTTAAATGAAAAAATCAAGGTACAAATCAATGTCTATTTGGGAAAAAAGAAAGAAAATAACAAGACTCTAATTTGGTTTATTTATAAAATATATAAAAAAATACAATAGAAAGTGATAACTTTGTCTCTAGGAAGAAAAGTGACTGCCGGAGTTTCAAGAGAGAGAAAAATAATTTTCACAAACAAATAAATGAGAAAGGATGTTGTATTCTTATAGTAGAATGACAACTAAGTATTTAATAATGATGGAGTTAGAAAATTATCAATGGATGCAAACACTAATGAAACAGCTTTACTGGGAAAATAATGTTTATATTGTCTTAAATACATCCTCACAAATCATTTATCAGTTACCAAGATAAAAAACATAGTAACTCTAGAAAGAAAAACCTTGGCAGAGACCAATTTCAAGAAATGATCAAATTAATCATCATTAATATTGGCACAAATCAACAACATGTCTCCTGATGATCCACTGAGAAGAATACAAGAACACTTCTGGCAAACAATGCATGACTTTGACTTAAGCATGATAAACATCAGACAAACTCAAATTGAGGGATATTCTATAAAGCATCTGGTCCATGTGTATTTCAAAAATATCAAGGTCAAGAAAGCTGCAGATTATAGATGAATAAATAGACATAACAATTAAATGTGATCTTTGATAATGAATTAGATTCTGGATTGGGAATAAAAAGAGACATAAAGACATTATTGAGGCAGCTCATGTACACTTTTTTTTTGGGTTGGTATTCTTTATTATTGTTGAGTTGTATGAATTATCTTTTTTTTGCATAGAACTCTTTTGGGATAAATATATTTTCAAATAGTTTCTTCTAGTCGGTGCTTTTTCATACATGATCTTAACAGTTCCTCTTGAAGAGAATAATTTGTTAACTTTAATGATGTTTAATTTATTTCTAGATTGATTACACACTAACATAAAATTAGAATGAATACATGAAATTGTTATTTATTTTTGAAAATCGTCTCAAACTATAATTGGAATAACATTGAACCAAAAGAACTATTTGAGAAAGTAAACATCTTATCACTATTTAAGCCCAATCCATGACATTTTATATTTTTAAAAATTTTTAGTTTTTTTGTGCGTTTTTAGGTTTTGTTTTTATATTTTTTGGGTTAGTGGTCTTACACATTCTACTTAGTTTATTCCTAAATATCTTATGTTTTTGATACTATCTTAATTTTTAAAATTAACATCCCATTTTGCTGCTGAAACTATATTTCATTTTTGTAGACTGAACTTGTATGTTTGATCCCTTAATACATTAAACTACTCTAGTAGCTTCTTGTAGACTTTTTACATAGACTATAATGCAATATTTAGCTAGACACAATTATACTTACCTCTTCAATAATTATGCCTTTTATTTATTTATTCTTATTTTATTGCATTGAGTGGGACCTCTAGTAAAATGTAGAATAGATTGGTGAGATAAGACATTCTTTATTCTTCTCCATTTAAGTGAAAAACATTCAGTCTTTCTCCATTAAATTTTTTAGTTGATATTAATTGCAAATTTTTTTGTTGTTTATTTGTATATTACTTTGCTAGTTTGAAGAAATTCCCTTAAATTCTTAGCTTGTTGAGAGTTTTGTTGAATCACACATAGATGTTGAATTTTGACAAGTGCTTTTTCTGCATTCATTGCGATGATCAAATGTTTCTTCATTATTGCCTATTGATATACAAAATTAAGTTGTTTGGTTTTCGAATGTTGAATCAATGTTTTATTCTTTAGTAAATAAGTATTATTTTCTATTTGGCTGGATTTGAATTGCTGATATTTTAAGGATTTTGCATTTATGTTCATGATTAACATATACCTATTTTTTAATTCATATGCACTCTATCTGGTTTTGTTTTAAAAAAGTAATGCTGGCCTCACAAAATCAGCTAGAAAATCTTTCCTTTTCTATGTTCTGAAACAGTTTGTGCAGATTGGTGTTATTTGTTTATACATTGATTGACAGCATTCTCAAATAAACCCATCTTTGTCCAGAGTTTTCTTGTGGGTATGTATTTAACTATGAAACCATTTTATTTAAAAGATATGGGAATAGTAAAATATTCTCTTTATATTTCTTCCAGTTATGGTAAGTTTTGTTTTCAAGTAACTTACCTATTTCATATAAGTTGTAAACATTTTGGCAAAAAATTGTCAATCATATTTTATTTTTATTTCAATAATAAATTATCTATCATTTATACCAATACCTACTCTGTCACTCCTGATATTGGAACTAGAATTTTTTCTCTCTATGTCCACCTCCCACTTCCAATTTACTTCACATATGTTTAGTTTTATAGTTGCTTTTTGAGAGCGGGAAAAGTCCAGTACTGCTAATTCTGTTATGGTCAAAAGTAGAACATATAATAATTTCTTAATAAAAAATAAACCTTCATTGTATTTCAGTGAAAATGTTATTCAAAAATCACATCAAAGGAAAATGATTTTGTAAGTGGGCCTGTAAGGATACTTGTGTGACAGTCAATATGCAGGGCAAATTCTGTTGGGGATATTTCTAGTAAGGCCAGGAAAGTGAGAAAAGATGTCTAATTCATATCAGGGAATTCCTTCTTACAACAGAAAGATATCAGAATGTAACTCACCAGGAATTTCCATCAAGGGGAAACATACGTGACATTTGATCTGATAACCAGTTTCTTTCCATTGTCACTTTTGCCTCATTTCTAAAACATCAGGGTAACATTTATTTATCAGGGGATTTGACGCTTTGTGGGATGAGTTGATATATTAAATGATTTGTGAAATTTAAGATCTCAAACTACTATGATAGTTGAAAAGTTGTGTAGAAACCTTTCTTGGTAATTGGCTTGGTGTCTTCCAATGGCTCTTCCAAGGAATAAATCTTCTCACAGCTCACCTTTCTCTCTGGGCAGCTTATACCCTTTGAGAGACTAGATTCTGATTATGTCTGTGGATTTCTGTGGCATGATATGAGAAAATCTAACAAGAAAGACATTGTGCATAAAAGAAATCAGCAAATAAGTCTGAGAAGGGAAATAAAGAAACCAACAAAAAGCCTGCATAAAACGTCAGAACTAAACACCTCCCAACTGCTGCTTGTAGGAGGGGTAGTGGTACATTTCTAATATAAAATAGCTAGTCTAATGGCAGTTTTGAAACAAAGCAGAAATTGTCCATAAAAAAGAAGACACAAATTACTATGATTAGATATGCAAGAGGGATCATCACTATTGATCCTATGTACATTAAAAGGATAATAATAAAGCATTGTGAGTAATTCTGTGCCCACAAATTTAATAATGGATGAAATAGACCAATTTATTGAAAAACAAAAAATAACAAAATTCACAAAAGGAAGAGTAGGTAATCTAAATAGGCTTAAAACTATTAAATACATTTAATCAATAATTAATAATCTTCCATTAAAGAAAGCACCAGGCCCAGATGCTTTCCCTAGCTAATTCTAAAAAATATTTAGGTACAAATTAAACCATGTTTCTACAATCGCTTCTAGAAAATTAAAGAGAAAACACTTCCTAATTTATCTTAGTATTACCAGTATTACCAGTATTACCCTGATGCCAAAAATAAAGACATTACAAGAAATAAAAACTACATCCAATATCTCTTGTAGACATAGATGCAAAAATCTCAACAAATTGTTATCAAATGCCATCCAATAATGTATAAAAGTATTTATACACCACAATCAAGTGTGATTTACTCCAGATGTGCAAGTCTGGTTCAACATTAAAAAAAAAAAAATAATGGCCGGGCATGATGGCTCACACCTGTAATCCCAGCACTTTGGGAGGCTGAGGCTGGTGGATCATGAGGTCAGGAGATTGAGACCATCCTGGTTAACACGGTGAAACCCCGTCTATACTAAAAATACAAAAAATTAGCCAGGTATGGTGGCATGTGCCTGTAGTCCCAGGTACTCGTGTGGCTGAGGCAGGAGAATCGCTTGAACGCGGGAGGCAGAGGTTGCAGTGAGCTGAGATCAGGCCATTGCACTCCAGCCTGGCCATCAGAGCGAGACTTCATCACACACACAAAAAATTAATCCATCAAATCAACATTGTAAAAAAGAAAGAATATGATAATAGCACTTGATATAGAAAAATCATTTGAAAAAGCCCAGTACTCATTCAAGATGAGGGGGAAAAAAAACCTCTAAGAACTCTAAGCAAACTAGGAATAGTAGGGAATTTTCTCACCTCAATAAAGAACATCTGTAACAACCTACAGCTAATATCATACTTTATTGTGAGAAACCGAATGTTTTCACTTTAAGTTGGAGACAAGGTAAAGATGTCCTCTCTTACCACTCCTGCTGAAGATCGTACTGAAAATCCTAGCTAATGCAGTGAGTAAAGAAAATTAGAATCAAGACACAGAGAATTACAGGAAGTCCTGTAATTACATCAGAATTACAGGACACAGTTCCTGTAATTAATTTAAAAAATATGGCAGGGCCACAAGATAAAAAGTTAACATAAAAAGTTGATTGCTTTCCTTTATAAGAGCAACAAACGATTAGAACTTGAAATATAAAACACAATATAATTTACATTAACATAAAAAGTGAATCCTTAGGAATAAATCTAACAAAATTTATAAGATCACTATAAATGGATGTGGAAAATGACGAAGCTCTGGTGAAAGAAACCAAAGACACACTAAATAAATGGAGAAATATTTCATGTTCATGGATTGCAAGACTCAATATTGTTAAGATGTCAGTTACTTCCAACTGGATCTATTAAACCAATACAATTCCACTCAAAATCCCAACCGTCTAATTTTGTAGATGTCTATAAACTCATACTAAAATTTATTGGAAAAGGAAAAATATAAACCAAACAAAGCCAGAACAGCCAACACAATATTAAAGAAGAAGAACAAAGTTAGACAATGGATATTATCCAACTTTAAGGCTAACCTAAACCAAAGTGATCAAGACACTGTGTTATTAGTAAAAGAACAGACACTTGGATGAACGTAACAGAAGTGAGGGCCCGGAAGTAGACCACACACATCTGTCAGTGGTAGATGCCCTTTTCCAACAGATAGAAAATGATTGGGGGAGACTAAATCAAGATGGCCAACTGAGTCTCTGTATTCCTCTCATTCATGGAATTACAGAAAGTTAGAAAATCATAGGAAAAAGGGAAATACAATAAAAACAATAACTACCATCAGCACACAGGACATTAAGGCAATTCTGTTTTGATATACATCTACATGGTGAAATAATTACCAATGTATCAAAACGTCACATTGTACACCCTAAATATATACATTTTTATCTGCCAACAATACCTCAATAAAACGGGAGAAAAGAAGGAATTGAGGCAATTCTGAAAGATAAACAGCAGAAAAAATTTAGGTGTATAGAAAAACAACTAGAGAAATTATGCAGACTACTACTCAGAAAACGATTAAGAAACAAAACAAATGATCAAACCAAAAAAACACTAGGAGCTACCAAGTCATGAGGAAACTATGAATTCTGAAGACAGAAGTACCAAATTCAATAAACAAAAAGATAAGTGTTTAAAGAAACATACTTGATAGAATAAATTGAAATGGAATAGAGAATAAAAATATAATACTCTCACAACAAATTGAAAGTCAGTCATTGTGTATGATAAGATACCTTAGAATTTACATTTCTTATTGTCATAAATAATACATAAGGTCATTACACACACACACACACACACACACACACACACAATGACAGAAAAACACATGCAATGCCAATGGAAGAGTGATAGCTATTCAAAACACGTGTGAAAAATTCTGCTCGGATATTAAAGTGTGATGGTTAGTTGCAGAAGAGCCAAAGTAGAGAGAAAATATGATTACTACATGAATTGCAGCGCTCTCAAGATACAAAATTAAACAATGGTTAGAAGATACAGAAGCAATGTACCCACAAAAAATAAAAATAAGAAAAAAGAGAGGCAGAAGTATTTTTTTCCCCCCAAGATGAGTCTTGCTCTCTCTGTCACCCAGGCTGGAGTGCAATGGCATGATCTCGGCTCACTGCAACCTCCAGCTCCTGGGTTCAAGTGATTCTCCTGCCTCAGCCTCCCGAGAAGCTGGGATTACAGGCATGTGCCACCATGCCCCGCTGATTTTTGTCTTTTTGTAGAGACGAGGTTTTACCATGTTGGCCAGGCTGGTCTTGAACTCCTGACCTCATGTGATCTGAAAGCAGTTATCTTAAGCAAAGCTGAGAGAAAATTTTCCACTGGGTTTTTAAAAGATGATATGCTCATCATTCCTTCAATTAATGTAAGATTTTTACTTATTTATTTTTATTTTAGATTCAGGGGGTGCATGTGCTTGTTAGTTACCTGGGTATATTGTATACTAGTGGGGACCGGGCTTCTAGGGTACCCATTACCCAAATAGTGAACACTGTTACAAATTTACTAACACAGAGGTTTGTTGTCATGTTCCTCAGTAGCAGACATTATAATCATTTTTTAAAGGAATTTACATTTTTTCTTTAGTTTTCAGATAGACTCATGAGTTTTAATTTCAAAGGTTGATCAGAGAGAGATCCCAGATATTTTTACCATAATAAATGGTAAAAATGTTGATAAAGAAGAATTTCATAGGTAAGCAGAAGGAAATTCCTTGTTACCTGGAGTTCAGTGAGAAACTCAAGAGACAACCAAATGTTTCATTTTTATCAAACAGGATTATTATTTTATCATCAGCAGCAGTAGAAAGATCTACAAAAGAGTTATAGCTATGATTGAAGAATATTCACTACTATGAAGTTAAGTTTGGTAACAAAATATAACCCCTACTTATTGTATGTATTTTGAAATACATGAGCACACATTTGACTACTGAATTCAGCATAATTGTATTTATGATATGACAATGATGTGTAATTACATTTCTCTCAAAGTCCTATTACAAGATAGAGGAACTTTATTTAATTGTATTATGTGTTCCTTCTGTATTATATTTCTAGCAAATCAGGATTTGATAAATTATTTAGTATGAGCTGGCAAACCAGTCCTGCAACCCCTGCACATAAAGTAATTCTGATTCCAATAAAAGTATTTTTGACAAATGGCTTATGCTTACATGATTTATCAACCTAATGTGGAATGGACCCACAGCAGCGGAATAGTCGGCCTCTTTTGCACCTGCTTCTGTCTTTGCGTGCCAACAGGAGAAAGGCAGAAAACATAACTTATATTGAAGAAGTGGTTAGAAAAATATGATGTTTGTGCTAGGTTGACAGCATACGGATCAAACAACAGAAAATAAAGAAAAAGCAATAAAGACATACAAAGTATACTTTTATCTTCAGTCATGGAAATTATTTGTGTCTGCTGAAGAAAGAGAAAAGCACCATTAGAGTTCACTGAGCATATTAAACTATAAACCACAAGGTGACTTCTCCTATCATAAACTTAGTTCCAAGGGGTTGCAGTCAGCTTAGATTTAGAGGCCACAAAGTTACTTCTGTGGGTTAATCAGATCCTAGGAGTGGTTTGGTTGAAAATGATATAGCTGCAAAGTGTATGGAGATATTTTCATGAACACCACTGAAAGTGAAGATTCAAGGGTAATCAAATTGAAAGCATTTATATGATTTGAAATCCTTCATCAGCTGAGAGTTCACTACAGTACATGAAATTATGTGATTGATTAAAAGCACCTACTAAAAACTAAACTTCATTGACATGTATTATGACACAATTTAACTGTCCAGCTCAGGAAGTTACATAAAAGGGTCTGTGGCTGGGCGTAGTGGCTCAGTCCCGTAATCCCAGCACTTTGGGAGGCCGAGGTGGATGGATCGCCTGAGGTTGGGAGTTTGAGACCAGACCGACCAACATGGTGAAACCCCGTCTCTACTAAAAATACAAAACATTAGCAGGGTGTGTTGGCCAGTGCCTGCAATCCCAGCTACTCAGGAAGCTTGACGCAGGAGAATCGCTTGAACCCAGGAGGCAGAGGTTGCAGTGAGCCGAGATTGTGCCATTGCACTCCAGCTAGAAGGATGGGCCTGCATCGAGCACACATCTTGCCCCTCCATTAAGATATGTGCCCTTCTGAAGCTTCAAAGAATGAGCTAAAGAGTATGTCCAAAACATCAGAAAAGGCAGAATTGAATATTCTTCATCATTTTGGAGGATAAGGAAATAGAAACACACCAGGTTTTGAATGAAAAGCCAAGGAAGTCCATGCACAAGAAAGAGGCACAAACTAGAATTGAACAGATCCTTACTAAAAACATCAACCTGACTCTGGCTCAGCTCAATCCCATACCCCTCAACCATATAGAATCCCGGAAAACAAAATATATAAAATACAAAACTCACTAGTAAGATTTTAGAAAACATGACAAACAAGGTAGGATTAATGAATTCGAGAAGTCAATAAAAAAATGTAATGGAAGCACAGAAGGAAAATGAAAGATTAAAACAAGACACAACGGTATAAGAGACATGCAGAATATGTGAATAAAGAAGATAAATTACCATGCATTTTACAGACCTTGAAAATATCCGGTCTTACGTTAAAAAGTTTTACGAAAAATAATTTACAAAAACATGAAATTATCAATTTTAAAAAAATTGTCAAAACTGATACAAGAAGAAACAGGAAAAGTGAACTCACATATGAAAAATAAATTTATCAATTAGAAAGAGATCTTCCTCACACAGACAATTATAGCTCCAGATGAATACATTAATAAACTCTTTCAAACATTTAAGGAACTATTAATACAATTTTACACTCATTTTTCAGAGAATGGAAAAAGATAAACAAATGTTCCCAACTTGTTTGTAATAACAGAATTGTATCTGTGTAAAAACTTGACAAAATTCATAACATGATAAATCAAACCCAGTAACATATAAAAAGAATAATGCATTAAGACCAAGCAGTTTTTTTTTTTTTTGGAGACACAGTCTCTCTCTGTCACCCAGGCTGGAGTGCAGTGGCATGATCTTGATTCACTGCAACCTCCACCTCCCAGGTTCAAGCGATTCTCCTGCCTCAGCATTCCGAGTAGCTGGGATTACAGTTACTGGCCATCACCCCCAGCTAATTTTTGTATTTTTTTTATTTTTAGTAGAAATGGGGTTTTGCTATGTTGGCCAGGCTGGTCTTGACCTTTTGGCCTCAAGTAATCTGCCCGCCTTGGCCTCCCAAAGTGCTGGGATTACAGGCTGGAGCCACCTAGCATGGCCAGACCAAGTAGATTTTGTAACAAGATTTAAAAATCATCAGATATAATGCACCGCATTAATAGAATAAAGATACATGCTGATTATGCTAAATATAGAGAGAACATTTAATGAAAATTTAACACATACACGTGTAAATCTCTAGGAAAAAAATAGAAGAAACTTTATAATTCTTAAAAAATATGGTATGTACAAAAAGCCTAGAGCAAACATACTCAGTGGTGAAGTATTGACATTTTCCAACCTGAGCTCAGGAACCAATTAAGGGTGGTTTCAATCTTTACTTCAACATTGTACTGGAGGCATAGCTACTACAGTAGGGCAAAGAAAAAACAAAATTTACAAAGATTAGAAAGGAAGTAAGCATTCAGAGGAAGTAAAACTCATTATTTATAGGAGGCATGTTTTCTTACATAGAAAACATTCCCTGCCACCTCATAACTCTCCTCACCTCAAAATCTAAAATGTCTAAGAGACTTATCATGGTCTCTGGATAAAAGATTTGTATTGAAAAGTCAACTGCATTCTTAGAATGTTAGCAATAAATAATAAGAGCATATTATTTCCAATAGCACAGATAACCAAAATTATAGCAATAAAATGGAATACTATAGTTATGTAATAAAAAAGTAAACTACTGCTACATCCAATAAAAAGAATGAATCTTACAGATGTAATTTTGAACAAAAGAAATGGGAAGCAAAAAAAAAGCTTACTACAGTATGATTCCATTTGCTTGGAATTGAAAAACAAATTAATCTGTGCTAATAGAGATCAGGATGGTGGTTACTTTGTCGGAGTCACTTGGGAGGCTGGTAATGATCTATTTGTTCATCTAGGTGGTGACTATATACTACCTTACAAATGTATAAAACTGCATTACTGAACACTTAACATTTTTACCTTTCAGTGTATATGTATTACTTTGCTAGGGCTGCCATAGCAAAATACTACAGACTGGGTAGCTTAAATAATATAAATTTATTTTTTCCACAGTTCTGGAGCTAGGTGTCCAAGATCATTGTGTTGACAGGTTTGGTTTTCCCTGAGGCCTCCCGCCCTGGCTTGCAGATGGCTGACTTCTTGTTACTTCCTCATTTGGTCTTTTCTGTGCGCAGGCACATGCCTGTGTCCAAATTTCCTCTTTCTTATACACACAGCAGTCATATTGGGTTAGGAACCACCCGAACAGCCTCATTTCATTTGAATTACCTTTCTAAATAGGGAGAAAGATAATTATAAAGCCCCAAATACAGTCACATTCTAAGATACAGGGAATTAGCACTTCATTATATAAATTTTGACAGGCCACAATTCAGCCCATACTAGCATGTAATTTATAAATTAACAAGTAGGAAAAATACATACATTAAAGTAAAACTAAAAGGACAGGTAAGAAAATAAAGTCAAAAGTAAAGACTGAATTGGAGCAGCATGAAAGTTATGTGGAAAACCAAGAGTTTGTGATACCAGAGTATCTAAGAGAAAAATGTTTTTAAAAAGAAGACGTGTTCAAATGTTTCAAGTGCTCTTCCTAGATCAATTAACATGAGGACTCAGAAATGTAAATTGGCTTTAAAAAAAGAAGGCCATTATTGACTTTAGTGAGAGCTGTTTTACTGGAGTGGAAAGGATAAAGCCTTATGAGGGTGGGTTGAGTAGAGAATGGGAGGTAAAAAACAGAGTAAGAGTGAAAATGCTTCCTTTGAGAGGTTGCCCTGTAAATATAAATTAAATGGAAGTAGCTGGACGGAAATACGGGCTTGAAGAAGTGGTTATGGTTTGTTTTTGCTTTGGTTTCTTTGTTTTTAAAACTGGAAAAGACTTCTGCATGCTTGATCATTAATGAAATATGTAGAACAGTAAGGCAGAAGTTGAAGATATGGATCGGAGAGCAGATAATCAAGAGATGGCTCTAATAAAAAAATACTACAGAAGATAACAAATGTTGGTGAGGATGCAGAGAAATTGGAACCCTTCTATACTGTTTTCAGAAATGCAAAATGGCGCAGTCATTGTGGAAAACAGTATGGAGGGTCTTCAAAAACAGAACTACCATATGATCCAGCAATTAGACTTCCAAGGAAAAAATTGAGGAGCAGATTAACTACATATTTTGCCTTCATTTACCCTGCTGGTAATGAGGTGAATCTGGATTTGTGTTCATCTGGTTCTAAAGAATATTATCTTTTTTTACTTTTAGCACATAAAACAAACTATTAACATTCTAAGTCCAATAATTTTCATGTTAAAATATAGTTAATATTTATAACAAAGTATATGTAATATCAAGAAATAATTTGATTGTAAAGTCAAATGAGAATTTTCAGGATCCAAAATTGACCACGTAACGTGACCACAACTACATCTAGCATAATGCCAGATACTCAATAAATGTATGCTAAATAACCTGTGTTTAAAAAATAGAAAAAAAAAAACAAAATAAAATGTAACAGAATGGTTTAACATGGTTAATCTAAGTGTAATTTTTTTCTCCCTTTCTTTCCTCTACCCCAATTATTTAAATGAATAACCGTGTCGGGTGTTTAAGAAAATTTTTAAAAAGTGAAATAAACCATGAACACAGTTCTTCTCTGAAAATATTCTACTCCTTCCTTCTACTTAATTCAGGGAACTTTCTGCTCCACAACTCCTGACCACACTGTATGTGGTAACTGTCTACAAATTGCCCCTGAGGACTACACCCTGACAGTTTACTTAGTCACCAGCTACAGAGGTCTGAAAGCCAACTTTTTGAGCAGACATGGGAGTAATTTCATAAATATACCCAGGAGCACTACCTTACATGAAAGGATGCAATGATGAGAGAATATATACAGGCCTGAATCACATGGGGAAAAGCCACAGAACTTAGTTATTTTATTTATTATATTATATTTATTATATTGACAGCTTTGGAAGTGTGTGGGCTAGTTCTTGTAGGCAGGTTTCTCAACCTTCCTGAATAATCTGTATTTATATGGAGAACTAGGTGAAAATTATGTGAAGCTAGCAGCAATTGAAGTCATCTTTCTTGAATAATAAAGTTCATAGACCAGGAAAAGGAAGGAGGGAGGAGAGAAGAAGATAGGTTTCAAAGCTTTTCTAATTATGAAGAAAATTTGATTTGTATTTCATATATAAAAATGGTCCTTGTTATTTCTAGAACCAATCTGCTATCCTTTGAATTAACAAAAGATATGTAACAAAGAGTATCCAAATTGGAAAGCAGGAAGTCGAATTGTCTTTGCAGATGACATAATTTTATGTATTAAAAACCCTAAAAGAGTCACCAAAACATTTTAGAACTGATAAACAAATTTAACAGTGTTGCAGGATACAAAATCAACATATAAAAATCAGTAGAGTTTCTGTGCACCAACTACTCTCTAGTGTAAAAACAATCAAGAAAGCAATCCCATTTATAATAGCTACAAAAAATAATTTTTTTGGAATAAATTTGACAAAGAAAGTGAAATACCTCCACAAGGAAAAATGTAAAACACTGATGAAAAGAAATTGAAGAGGATATGAAAAAATGGAAAGACTTCCCACATTTATGGAATGGAAGAATTAATATTGTGAAAATGACCATGCCAACAGAAATGATTTGTAGAATCAATGCAGTCCCTGTCAAAATACCAATGACAGTCTTCCTCCCAGAAATAGAAAAAAAAATCCTAAAATTGATTGGAATTACAAAAGACCCTGAATAACCAAAGCAATCCTGAGCAAAAATAACAAAGCTGGAGGCATCACACTAAGTCACTTCAAAGTATTTTATAAAACTATAGTAACCAAAACAGCATGGTACTAGCATAAAAACAGGCACATAGACAGGCAGAACAGAACAGAGAATCCAGGAATAAATCCACATATTTATAGCCAATTTATTTATGACAAAGATTCCAAGAACATTGGGGAAGAAACAGTCACTTTAATAAATGGTGCTGAGAGAATGGAACATCCATATACAGAGGACTAAAACATGATTTATTTTTAAAGGTTTAATGTAATTCTCGACCCTCTCCTTCTGCCTCCCCTTCCATAAATACCCACTTTTCCCTGTGACACAATCTACCATGGGGCTTTCAACAGCATTTTTAAAATACTTTTTTAACTCTTTAAGTTGATTTTTTACTAATGCTTGTTCCACTGATTTTATATGAAGTAGTGGCAAACACCAAAATTTATATTACTGAAGTCTTGTAGTTTCAAAGAATGACTGCTGCATATCATTTGTCTGCAGGAAAGAGGAACCTAATAGAGTTTCTAATGTTGAGAATCCTTTCTAAATCGGGTTAGCTCAAGAATGTGGTCAGTCACCAATCATCATAGCGGGTGTTGCAACTTTGCCTTTTCAGAAACTTCTAGCTGCCTTCTTGTGCCTCTCTCCCACTCTCCTGGAGTTCTCCCAGAACAATATGCTGAGAACATTGATAAGGGTAAGTCACTATTAGTGGAACTGTCAACCTGAATTGTCTTCTTGCAGGACAACTTGGCTGTAGCTTTCAAAGTTAAAACTGAAAAGGCTTTTTAATCCAGCATTCTGAATATGGTACTTATTCTACAGAAGCACTTTCATTTTCTTGGGGTGGGGTGGAAGCAAGATAATATATGTGCTTGGACATTCATTGCATAATTATAATTGTAAAATAAAGTAATGAAATGAATTTCCATATAAGAAGACAAGTACAATAAATTTGATACCTTCATAAAATGAAATATTCTATAGCCATGTAAAAAGACAATTTTATAAATCTCCCTGTGGTAGTTTTAAGTGAAAAATTCAGCTGTAAAACAATGTGACTAAAGAAGAAAGAGAGATATAAACACACATACATATACACATACACAGATACATAAATCTGTTGTTATATATATTATATATAATTACTAGATGTTATTATTAAATGCACTGAATACCTTTGGAAATTAAATAGACATTAGTCATTGCTTTCAAAGAGAATAACTGGTTTATCTGGGATCAAAAGAGGGAGGAAGGGAAGCACACTATTCACTGTATTCACTTTTATATTGTTGAATTTTGATCAATGTGTATTACCTATTTAATAATTAGTAAACAAAATAATATTAAGAAAAAGTATAAATTATTAAGAGATGATCTTAATACAGCATCATCATTCCAAAGGAACTTTCATAAAGCTGAGGATTGCACAGATCTGCATATTACGCCTATCATGTAGTCACAGGTGATTCAAGGTGCATATAAGGTTGGGTAAATTGTTTAGCGCTCTTCCAAACAGGGATCATTTTATTGACCTATACACGTCAGCATTAATACCTTATTTGGTTGCACTATACACACGTTTGCATAGATGCAACTGCACATAAATATTGCATATGTATGAATACATAATGGCATATTTATGTCAATAGAAATAATACCACATAAGCTATCTCGAATGTCAAACATTCATGATTAGGCTTTTTATACACATGTGATAAAAAGAATAATCATATCACTGAAAGAGTCAAAAGAAAGATAAATTAGATACTATGACTGACTTAATCACCACCATTCATTTTATATGTTATTTCAGGACATAGTAATAAGGGCATATATTATACAAATTGTTTTTTTTACTTGGCTTTCTTGATTATGCATTCTTTACCCCATCCAGCCCAAATTCTTCCTGATAAATTTAGATTACTCCTGTGTGATTCCTTTTTGTTTTGAGATATGCTTTGGTGATTCCCAGTAGGCATAATTTTTATCCTTTTCCATCCATTTTCTATTTTCCTGTCTAAACAAATTGTATGCATCAGTAAAATACACTAAACTTCACATGTTGTTTTGAAAACAAAAAGGGAATATAAGTTTAGAATAGATGCATATTTCTGTTGAGTAGACTCTTTTATTATCATAAAATGTTTTCCTTACCTCTGGAAATATTTCTAACCATAAATATCTCCCTTTTCAATGGTGGTAGGGCAACACTGGCTTTCTTCTTGGTTAGTATTTGCTTGGCGCATTTTTAATCTTTACATTCCTTTTATCTTTGTGTTTTCTGTGTCCTTATATTTAATGGTGTTTCTTTCTTTTTTTGAGACAGAGTTTTGCTCTGTTGCCCAGGCTAGAGTGCAGTGGCACAATCTCGGCTCACTGCAAGCTCCGCCTCCCGGGTTCAAGCCATTCTCCTGACTCAGCCTCCCGAGTAGCTGGGGCTACAGGTGCCGCCACCACGCCCGCTAATTTTTTTGTGTTTTTAGTAGAGACGGGGTTTCACTGTGTTAGCCAGGGTGGTCAATGGTGTTTCTTATAATCATGGGTTAGCTAGTTTAGTTTCTTCTTTTTATAATCCAGCCTATCAATTCTTATTTTAGAGAGAGGATTTAGTCTATTTTAATTACATTACAAATATACTTTTACTTAAATCTAACATCTTATCCTTTGTTCTATATATGTTCATATGTATTATTTTTTCATAGTCTTGCCTTCTTTTGAAATAATTACAGATTTTATAAATCATCCATTTGCCCTCTAATAGTTTGCATGTTATTTATTTCTTTAGTTCAGTTTTATTTATTCCTTTTTATTAGAATATATAACAAATTAGTATTTTATCACCTCCACACCAAAGATTTTGCAACCCTTACCTACAATGTATATTAAAACCCCAAAACCATTATTGCTATTATTTTAAACAATGTCTATTTATTTATATCTGGTTATTTACCTCATAATTTTTAAATATATGCTTGCCTCATCTTTTACCAGGGGTTATATTCCTTCTGACTAAATGACTTCTTTTTGTGTTTCTTTTAATGTGAGTTACTCTGATACAAGGTACATCATAGCCAGAAGCAAAGTCTTGTTCATTTTTCATTCACTTTGAGTTCAATACATTTTTATCTGGTATGGCTCTTCCTCCAACTGAGAGGAAGGATTGGGAGATAAGAAAGAACTGCTTACAGCAGAGCAATGAAAGTAGATCTGCAAATAGCAAATTATATTTAAAGTTGGAATAGGTACTCAGTAGAGACACATTTACATTTGAGGAAGTATAAGTAGTATAGTATAAGTATAGTATACTTATAA
Source organism: Homo sapiens (assembly GCF_000001405.40). Lineage (NCBI taxonomy): Eukaryota > Metazoa > Chordata > Mammalia > Primates > Hominidae > Homo > Homo sapiens. Next base: position 107,692,265 of record NC_000010.11, read on the forward strand.
GTATTATTTGAGGAAGTATAAGTAGAAGGCAAGAGTAATAATGAAAGGTGACAGAGGACCATGAGTATTGATTCTGGTATGTTCAGATCTGGGTCCAAAGTACAAGTTATCTACTTATAATCTTTGTGACATTAACGGGAAGACAAAACTTGTTTAAGTTTCTGTTGTCAGTCCCAAAACAAGAAAAAATGATGTTTTATATTATGAGATGGTTATGGGAATTCGATAATAATATATTTATCACTTAATAGTGATGCCTGCTATGTAATTGAAGCTTTATAAATCATAGCAATCATTAAAAAATCAAGAAATATTTAATGGACATAGCATTGTGGTTGATGCTAAAACATAATTAGATTTTCATTGGAAAGAGATCAGAAGAAATCTGGCTGTTGAAGAGCCAGCAAGAATAATGACTTGGGTTATGAAAGAGACCACCATGTTCAGGGCAGAGAAAACAGCTGACACTGCTGAATCTCTAGCCCTGACTCTGGAGGATGGTCCCTTGGAGCTTCATTATGGAGAATTTGCATGTTATGGAGAGGTGGTAATACATGAGGCAGAAAACCTGCAGAGGACTGTGTGCTAAGGTGGTTAAGCATCATTGTAGATCCTTGAGCAGGAGTGTACCCTTGACCATGTCTTACCGAGTGAGTTCTACGTGTCTGGGAGAATGTTTTCTCTAAAAAGATGGAGTAGTCCAATCTTCTAGTTCTCTGGTCCTCTGCCCATAACTCACCTCCCACTGCATTGCCAGTCACCTTAGTTGACTGAATAGCATGGACATTTCCACAGAGAATAAAATGTTTTGTTTATTTTCCCTTAGAAGATTTTTAGACCATTTTATTTCCCAGTTTTTCTTCCACAACACCTTTTCTCACTGCATAGAACTTGGGTAGAAACAGACATTCTGTCTTTCCTGCCTCCATTCCTCCTGGCCTCTTTTTTGTTTTTTTTTTTTGTTTTTTGTTTTAGTTTTTTGATACAGAGTCTCACTCTGTCACCTAGGCTGGAGTGAGGTGGTATTATCTTGGCTCACTGCAACCTCCACTCCCTGGGTTCAATTGATTCTCCTGTCTCAGCCTCCTGAGTAGTTAGGACTACAGGCCCATGCCACGATGCCCAGCTAATTTTTGTTTTTTTTTTAGTAGAGACAAGGTTTCACCATATTGGTCAGGCTGGTCTTGAACTCCTCACCTCAAGTGATCCACCCGCCTCGGCCTCCCAAAGTGCTGGGATTACAGGCGTGAGCCACTGGGCCAGGTTTCCTCCTGGCCTCTTAAAGAACAGAGGCTTCTGCCTTGTTTGTGCATGATATGTAAAAACTCTGCCACAGTTGGTATTAGAAAAACAACTTCACAAATCAAAGATTCATGGAGAAAATTATGGTTTTGGTTTTGCCAACCCAGTAGTGAGTACCTTCCATAAAATGACCATTTACTACCCATGGTGATGAGCCAAGCTTTATGGAATCAGAACATGACAATCCAAACACTTGGTTTTGGATGTGGAGTGGGATTAAAGCCCTGATTACTGCATTTAATCTTTATAATTTCTCTGCTCCTTCAGCCTCCAAGAATCTACGGAATCCTGACACGCTTAGTTCAGGTACTCTCGGGCACAGGTTCTAAGAGTGATTTCAGGTAGATTAGAGTTGGTTAACTGATTCTAAGGCATTCAATTTCTCTTCCGTTTCAATGAGTTTACTCCTTGCCATGGGGTCAGTGATTGGAAGGAACCACCAATTTCTTCTAGATCTAATTCAAGTTGATTTGCTAATATTCAGTAAATACATTGAAAAAAGTAATAGGAAGTGACTTCAGGAAGCAATGCTCTCATTGTCCATGGGGTAGAGGACAGCAGATGTGGGTAATACTGCTTTTTGGGGAGCATTTAGGAAGACCCTTTCTGAGACTTGCTGCAGTTTTCAGAGTACTGTGAGCAGGATGGTGAATGCTCTGAAAACTACTGAAAGAAGAATAATTGGAGGAAGAGGCCTCTTCAGGGAGAAAGGAAGACTGTTTTGCCAAATGACAAGAGACCCATTACCAAGTATAGACAAAGGAGTGTGAGCAGGAACAAGCTAGCTTATTCAATGTTGCTGAAAGCCAAAAGGCAAAAAGTATAGATTGATGGATGTGGTCAGTGAAGAGACAACCAGAATCAACCAGAAATGGAAAAGGGATGTAGGGAATCCCCTGAGAGAATTCAGCCAGGCTACATGGCTATTCATTTATGATGGCTTAACTGATGTTGCTACATGTAATTAGACCAAATCACCTTGGTGATCCTTTCCAACACTAAAGCACTGTTTTTAAACCAAAATATACTTTGGCACATGACAATTTCTTTTCTGTCATACCCAAGACTTCTCCTCTTCTGTTCCTTTCATTTTCTTAAAAAAATTATAAAACCTTTTTGGCACCAACTGGGATTCCTCAACCCCACTGTGGTTTTTTTTTTCAAAGTATATTCAAGTTCCCTACAGAAAGAATAACCCAATAACCCAATTAGATTATGAAAAATACACAATTTATGCACGTAATTCCCCACTGTCAGCATACTCAAACAAGTTCCCTGGGGATGAGGCCCAGGAATATGCATTATAAGAAGTTCCCTCTGAGGATTCTTATCACCACCTAAATTTGACAATTACCATCCCAGTATCTTTCTCTCAAGCATTTTCTGTACTTGTGATTTTTTACAGAAGGTCAGTCGTGTCTAATTCTTTCCTCTTAGAATGGGAAATTAAGATTCAGAGAAATAAAGTCCTGGTCTCCGAGTATATCTGGTTGGTTTTAGTTGCCTCCCATTCTTGCGCCAAACGGGCATCTCTGTTCACATGCAGGGTGCAAAGGATGCTGAGTCCCATGTTGTCTCATGGTGAGATCCTAAAACTAGAATATAAAAACTTTCATTGCCTTCTTTCCCTGAGAGAGATCATAAAGCTGCTACTGCCAAGAATAAGGAAGCTCAGTAGGACTGATATCGGTTAGGGCAGTGCCTCTCAATCTTGGCTGCACATAGGTATCAGTGAAACTTTAAAAACAAATACCTAAGTTGGGTCCTATTGCAAGATAATTAAATCAAAATCTGTAGGATTGAGGCCATATTATTTCCTTTCTAAAAAGATCCCATTCAAGCATCACAGCTCTTGTGCTCCCATAGCACTTAGTACAGAATGTTATTTTTGTACTTATCACATATTTTTGTAATCACTTATGTATTTATATCTATCTCCACCTAACTTCCCTGTGAGTGAGACAGTGTCATCACTGTAGATAGTAGGCAGCCAGGACATATGAATATTTAAAAATAAATGAAATAGTATAGCAGATCCTTGAAATTACACATGCTCTAGAATAATCTGTGGTTTGGCTGCTTCTCATCAAAGTTTACTTTGTGCCTCCTGGGAGGAAATTTCTGAAGTTGCTTTGCAAGCCTCTTTCTTTATTTGTGAAGCTAAAGAATTGCTCTAGCATATTTTAATTACAACTAAGAAGTGTTCTTTTGATCAAACATTAATAACATTTCTAAGTCATAAACAAACTAAGATTTATCACTTGTCCTAAGGTTGACACTGCCATTATTCTCAATTACTCCTGAGCCCGCACACATTATTCACTAAGTGTCCCCGGAGGAGGGAAACAAGGAGAGAGTTCTGCTGTAAGAAGGAATAAAATTCTTCCTGGAGTTACATTTTTGTATATTCAAAACATCTCCTTGGGATTTTTTTTTTTTATATCTACAGCATTCCCCAGACAAGATAATAGCATGTTCTGGTGAAAAGTCCACCCGAAAGGAGATTGTGTTAGGGAGCCAGCACACACTTGAAATTGCAAAACAAAAGTTAGTTGATCCATATTGTGGCTCTGCTCCTTATTTACAGAGAGAAGAGGGGAGTGGGAACAAGAATTGGGATCTTTCTTCACCAGGATACCAGTTGGCTTTGCCTACTGGACAGGGAGGAAGTTAGCAGTCAGCCCTCCTGGAAATACCACCCCAGGAATAGTGGAAGTGGTGGCACTGTTTCCTATAATTTTAGAGCTTGCTAATACTATCATTCTCCTAAGAAGTAATAACTTGGATGCTTATTTTGAATAATTGCAATATTGTCAGTTCCTATTTATTAAACAACTTATATATACCAGATACTTTTCTAAGTACTTTAGCACATTGGCTCATATAATCCTCATACTATTCTTGCGAGGTAACTGTTATTATCTCAGTTTTACAGGTGAAGAAACTGGCACTTAGGGAAGTTAAGGTTGTGAGTTTTTTATGGATTTGCCTACAAGTGTTTAACACATGCAACTTTGCCTGTAAAATAAAGTAATATAATTAATTTGCTTGGACATATGGTGGAAAGTACCAGGAATATATAAGATAGGAATATTGTCAGTGGATAAAACAGGTTCTACAATGACCAACAGGTGAGGACTGACCTGTGAGACAAGCCACAGATACTAAAACTGATATCTGGTGAGCCAGAAAATGTCAGATCTCCCCTCTACTCACCCAATTAGGTAAGCATTTTGATATTCAACCATTGGCTCCATGGTATCTAGTGGAGACTGGACCAATCAGAGAAGCATCCCAGGGCCTCACAAAGATTATAATGAAATTCTGCTGAGTGTTGTTCAAGTGAAAGAGAGATTTCTCCTCTGTGGGGGAGAGTGTCTATCAGATAACTAGACAGGGAATGTTCAGCCCCACAAGGCCCTTATACTCAACACAGAGAAGGAAGTTATTCTGTCATTTCCACTGTTGAGGGCCAGACATGTGTTCCCTCTCATGATCGGGGAGGAAGCACAACTTAGCTATCTAGGGTATGACAATCTCTTGGCAGTTGCATTGGGAGGGAAGTGGGTGTATCTGAAGCCCAGGTAGAGTGCCTGATCTGAGGGAAGAACCTTAACTCACTGAATGACCCATAGAATAGGACATTAATTAATGTTGCAAAAAAGAGAATTTTACCAATAGTTATTGTAAAGCCACTGGGCTGCTTTTCAAGACATTGTCTCTTTATTTTGTCCACTTATTTCCTACCTTTAGAACTTTAAAAAAAATCTCTTCTGTCTTCCCTCTAAAATCTTTCTAATGGGCAGTTATTTTTTCTTTTATTTTTCTTTACTTTCTTTCCCCTAATCTTTCCTTTCCTTCTTTCTTTCCTCCTTCCTTCCTTATTTTCTTCCCTCCCTTTCTTCTTTTTTTCTTTTTTCTTTCTTTCCTTCCTTCTTTTTCTTCCTCCTCCCCCCTTCCCTCCCCTCCCCTTCCCTTCCTTCTTGCTTTCTTTTGTTTCTCACTCTTCCTCCCTCTTATCCTTTCTTCCCTTCTCCTCTCCTTTTCTTCTCCCTCCTCCATTTCCTCCTCCCTTCCTCTTTTAATGTTACCATGTGTATTAATCTGATAGGACTGTCATAAAAAAATACCAAAGACTGAGTAAACAACAAAAATGTATTTTTCCAGAGTTTTGAAAGCTAAAAGCCAAAGATCAAAGACATTGTTAAGTCCAATTTCTCATGAGATCTCTCTCTTTGACTTGGAGATACTCACTTTTCACTGTGCCTCAGATGGCTCTTTGTATGTGAGTTCCCTAGGGTTTCTCCCTTTTTCTTATAGGTACATCAATCCCATCAGTGTCCCACACTTATGACCCTCATTTAATCTTAAGTATCTCTTTAAAGGTCTTATCTTCTAAACCAGTCATATTAGGGGTTATGGCTTCAACTATGAATTTTGAGGGCACATAATTTAGTTCATAGCACAATGTTTGAATTTTCAATTTTGGGGCTTGTGTATTTTCATCCTGTAGTTTGAACAGTTTCAAGTATTATATACATACAAGTAGCCACATATACAGTCTAAGTTGAGTATCTGCCCTTAGTTTAATTTCCCATTCATTTTTTTTCTTAAGGAAAAAGACACAATCCAGAAAGTAACTTGAGGCACCAACAAGTTAAAGCACCAATAATTTTTAGTATGAAAATGAAAAACTGGTAAGAACTGCTCTGTTCTACAAGATTAAGTGGAAGGGGGCTGAAAGGAGTACAAACCAAAAAGATGGGAATATGCTGGAGTAGGGGCAGGCACAGGATGCAGGCTGCTAAAGCAGACAGTCCTGAGCCTGAATCCTAGGTCTACCAGTTGCCAGTTTTTTGGCCAAGGGCAAGTGAATGTTCAGTCTTAATTTCCTCATTTGCAAATCAGTCACACCAATCTGCTTTGAGGAGACACTGCAAAGACACAAAAACACAGGTAACATACATGTGTGCATGTACACACATGCTAAAATGTCTGACGGGGAGTAAAATCTCAAAATAAAAATCCACAGACCACAATTTTAGAAAATATTAAAGTTCATGTAGATTCCAATGTCTTACAGACAATCTTGACACCAGGCCCGCAGGCAATATGTGTGCAAGCCCAAAGCTTCAGAGGAAACATCAGACTTTCACATTCAACATAAAATAAAATTTTCCGTGCAGACCTAGGCACTTGCTCTACATCTTATCAGGGGCCCACTAGAGTAAGGGAGCTTGGATGAATGGCCCTTTGCTTACACAAAACTGAACGCTCCTTATGAGCAAGAATCCTGTCTGTTTAGTGGATTATTGTATGCCTGGAACCTAACACAGTGCCTGAACATAGATGCTGGTGCGTATTTATTAATAACTGGATGAAGGCATATTATACTCACAAAGTACTTTACTGAGTTTTGCAGATGGACACATAAGAAGCTGTAAAATAAGACTACGGCAAAGGCCTTTCTCCATCCTAAAACTGAAATGATTCTTAGAGGTTGTTCAAAGTTGCTCTAGAATTTACTTCCCTAACAAAATATAACCCAAAGGCTTGCAATAAAAAATGACCCAGGACTCCAGACAAAAGATGTTAAAACTTTGTCCTTTCACATCCCATGATAAATGTAGCAGCAAAGATGCTTCTTAAAATAATCTTAAAAGCCCTACAGTAGAGTTGAAGAAAAAATTAGGTTAGAAAATAATTTTTGATGGATGAGAGCCACCAATTTTCCAGCAATCAGAAACAAGGTGCAGAATTTGTTCCATAATATCTGCCATTAAACTATTTCAGCCTAATATTCTTAACAGAAGACACGTGTCAGGCATAAGAAACGATTTAATACCACCAAGACATTGACCTCGGCAACGATTCTTACATGTAATATAGAAGAACAGATTACAGTTTGGAGGGATGGTTGCCTGGAGCCTAAGAGAAGTAAATTTCTGCAGCTGAAAATTGCATGTAGCTCTCCCAGGGGGACAAATCTATTTCTAATTGCAACTTTTAACATGATTTACATGACCTAAAACACACTTGTAAGAGCCAGCCATCATTTTCATGCCTTTGATTTTAGGTAATTACTTTTAGAGCTGAAAGATTTTCACTGTCTTTCATATTACTTTTGGCCATAAACAATAACGTTTGATTTTCAGCTTCCTCTCTTCTTAAGAGAAAAGAAAAGGAGGAATGTTTTCCCAAAACCAACTTTCACAGGGAAAATAATTACCCCAAGCTAATTAGAAGAGGGGATTGTTAATTAATGCAGTCTGGGCTGTGGGTGAGGTGGGAGGATGGGGTTATATCTAATGCAGTTGTGAAGTCAGAGTCACTTAAATCCACTAGTTCTATCCAAAATGATTCCCCAGGAGTGGATAGGTGCTGTCCCTCAGACCACTGCTACAGATGCCTGTCTGGTCACCTTGCTTTCAATCATGTTCACTAAATCCATCCTCTACACAACAGACTGTGATCTTTTAAATGAAATCTCAGTAACTTCCCCTGACATTTAGAACAAAATTGAAATTTCATCTCATGTTCTACATGCTCCGCACAATACAGCTAGGACTCCTTTGGCCAGGAAAACTTAAGAAACTTTCAAGGCAGAGGGTGTCAGCTTTGGATCTATGTCTATGGCCATAATTCAACAGGTTTGACCAGGACACATGACTAGCAGGATTCCCAGCAGCAACTCTTCTGACAACTTCTCTTTCTGCCCGTTTTTCACTCTGACTCTGTATCTAGAATATCTAGTATTATAAGTCTCTGATAAACTTTATTTGCATTTTCTTTCTAGTTGGAATTGCCCAAAGGCCTTGCACCAGGAGCAAATACTTTGCTCCTAAAGCAGACATTCAGATCTGGAAAATCTGAAAGAGGTATAATTTTTATTCTTGTTGTTTTTATCATTAACTTTGCCCTGTATTAACATATTATAAATTATTTTACAGTTTTACTGGTATGCTAGAGATTGCATAATGATTCCAATGAATATAAGTTAATACTTTATTGACTTCCAGACAATTCAAAATGTGTCAAACACTTTAACACTATTTCTCTTCTGACTTTAGTATTACTATTGTTACATACTTTAATTTTGTAGATATTTTAAAGCTCACAACATATTCTTTTTTGTGGTTACTGTCAATATTTATTTAGATTCATTTATATAACTTTCATCTAACTGTACTTTCCTTCATGCACATTCCATCTTTCTCCTAGGCTCTTTTTTATTCTGCTGAAAGAATACTTATCTGGTGATTTTTTGATGTTGTCATCACTGTTTTTGCTGTTTGGTTTGATTTTAGCTTACATATGCTGCTAATAAAATTTCTCTGAGTTTGACTAAAAATATTTTTGGCTTTTTAAAGGAATATATATTTTTTCTTTTGCATTTTTTCAGATAGACAATTTAAGATTAGTATTCATATCTCTTTCACTAATTAAAGACATCATTCACCTGCTTCCTCTCTTCTGCAGCTCTCATTGTGGCTCATTTGAAGGTAATACAGATTTTCTATGTCTATTTGTAAAGTTTTCTTTCTTTTGGACTTTAATCATGGTGATCTTTTGGGGATTTTTTGAGCATTTTTCCTACTTCAATGTATTATTATTGGATATGAGCCTTAATGACTTATGTCTATTTGGGGAAAATTTACTACCACTATCTCTTCTCCCTTCCCTCTCCCCTCACCTCTCTGGATTTCAATTCCATGCAAACTAGAACTTTACAATAAATCCCATATGTGCTTTATGCTCCTGTTTTGCAGTTTTATAATTTTCTCATGATGTGCATCTACCTGTGTGTTTTATGCTTAGTCTGTCTTCCAGGTCACTAGAAGGAAGTGTGCTTTCAGCTTTTCTAGCTTCCAGATCACCAGGTCTCTCTTGGTCTGTGTCTAATCTGTTAGCATATCTATTTACTGATTTTGATTTTGATAATTTTGTTTCATTTCTATTTCTATTTTATTTTACTTGTAGTTTTTGCTGTCAGCTGAAATTTACAATACTATTTATAATTTCATAAACACATTAAAGTTGGTTTTCTTTTTAAAACATCATAAGTCTAATTAGCCTATTGTTGGAGTCTCTGTTGATCTGCCTCTTTTATCTGTCACTTTTTTCCCTCATACTTTTCTTCGTACTTTGTGCTCTCATATGGGTTTCTTACTGGTTGTTTTATCTGTTAATATCCAGACATTAAGGGTGAAAACCTATAGAGATAATACAAGGCATTTACTATAACCATCTCCCTCCATAGAGAATTTACTTATGTTTTTTAAAAAGTAGTTATGCTCGCAGAACTATAAATTCCAGGTCATTTTAATCTCTACTAGGGATTGAGATGATTTAAAGGTGGACTTTATTTTATTTAAGGACTTGTCTATTTCCTCTGCTCCTTTCTCCATGGATGTATCATTATTGCAGTCACAACCAAAAGCTGAGGTATTTATCAGGGCTTTTCCTTTTGGTATCAAATCATCCCTACAAAAGCATCAAAAGTTTTATTCAGCTTCTCAGCCACTGACTTAGGAACTGGAATGTAGCAGTTTCAAATCCATGACATCATGGCATTTTCTCATCCTGTAGATCTCAACCACATAACTCCTCACTTAGCAGGTCCTTCAATACATTCCAATGTTTTCTCTCTTTCTCTTTCATCTATTTATAATTTTCTTCAAATTATTTAGTAATTATAAGAGAGCATATTAGTCACAAGCAAAGAATTAAACCATTGTTAGAAAAGAATATTTTGTTACTAATTTTATTAAATATAGTCATATGCCTATTTTACTACTGTATTTCCCAGCTTACTGAAAGCTGTGTGTTTTGACTAATGAAATGTAAATAGAAGATATTTGTATAATTTACAGAAAAGCTTTTTCCAAGAGTTGAGTCAGTACATTTTGTCCTACTTTTTTATGCTGTCTAGAACATGGGCATGATTCCCTTCATTTTAAAAATCATCTTGAATCCTGAGGCACATTTGAAATGCAAGATATGTGAGGTGAATGGCAGAAAAGAAAAATACCAGAAGACTGAATTTCCAATAAATGTGAGTCTGTGCTACTGGCACTTAACTTCCATCTTCTTAAGGCTAATGATATTTCCATACTTTGTTATAAGCAGCTGAGTAACACTTATACCTGAATACAATTTCATAAAACTATTCATACTGAACTTAATATGTTATTCTTATTCTGGGATAAACAAATTTTTTTTTTTTTTTTTTTTTTTTTTTTTTTTTACATCAGCAAAGCAACCGAATTTCAATTTACAATAGTGGAACTCAGGACATATTTTTTCCACCAAAACATCCAACCAAGTATGAGTGAGTGGCCTGGCCTTAACACATTGTTTGTTTGTAAGTATGCTTATGCAAACAGGTTGTTTATTATTATATTTTATCTAGCATATTACTTGCTATTTTCTGTTATTATTTTTCCACTACCCTTGTCTTTGGTATCTTCTCTTCATCTTTTTTCTGTCATATTATGTTTGCTTAGGGTTCTATAAGTATTCCTGCTACTAATGATATGAGTTGTATGACAGCTAACAGCTCACGTTATTTACAGTCTTTGCTTTTTAGAATAAAACAGGAAACCATCAAGTGCAGTGATTTACTCAGCTGCAGGATACAAGGCACTCCAGTCCTATTAAGGAAGAATAACTGTTATGATTATTTAATGAGCTACACAATGCCTGTTATTAGCTATTTATTGATGTATGAATACTTGGGATCTACTGCTTCTAGTGCCAGTGAGAACAACTCATTTTTCAATCAAACCTAATTGACAATGCTAGTATATTGAGAAAAATGTAATGCTTCTCATTAGATTTATTGGATGGCACCATTCTTGCCAAATCTCATATTGACATGTAATCTAAATTAATGTCAAGGTGATAGATTTGTAGTTGTAAGATCAAGCCTTACCTCTAATGTTCTAATCTACAGGAACAACAATTTGAAGGAAAGTCGATATGTTGATAATATAATATAGAGTAAGTACAATATATATAAATTGATATATATAGTAATTTGTGTGTGTGTGTGTGTGTGTGTGTGTGTGTGTGTGTATATGAATTATACTTTGGAGGAATCAGAAACCTGAAGAGTGTTGCTTCTTGGGAGTCTGTCTCTTGTGGTCTTGGAGTAGAAACCAGATACAAGCTAGAAAAAGTCTAACTTCTCTAAATGCCTGCATGTAGTCTTTACTGCAGGATTATCAAATGAGTAAATTAAAAATGGAACAAGGTGTTAGAGATGAGTGTCTAAGCCATCCATGCATGATAACTAAGATTTAAATGACACATTTATCAGTAAACATAATCCTTCAACTCATAATATCCTTAATTTTGAATTTAGTGAGAATTATATTCTATATTGATAGGTAAATACCACTGAGGAAAACTCAAGAGTAGTCACATTCTGGCATCATCACCAAAGGTACTGGGATCTTCATCCCTCTGCTAGATATGGGTTACAAATACTCAGTCTTCCAAAAAAAGATTCACTGAGAAGATCTGTACTACTTTTGGGGGAAACACCACAGATATTAATATGGCTTGCAGATGCTATTTTCCTTGAGCCTTGTTTATTGCATGTTTTGGGCTGTTTTCGTTGTTGCTGTTGTTGTTTTTGCTCGTTGTTTTTAATATTATTGCTCTTTTTTGATGCCTACTGTGCATTAAAATAAATTATTTAACCTATTTTTGGCTTAATTTTCTCTCTGTAAAATACAAGATGATAATAGTATCAATTTCATAGGGTTATGAAAGTTCAATAAGCGAAAGCGTGTCATTTAGTTAAAACAGAGCCTGAAAGAGAGAAAGTAAAATACGAGAGTGAATGATCACTGTCATTATCATTATCATTCTGATTATAGCCATAATCATCTCCAGCAGCACTATTTATCATTTATCTATCTATTTATCTATTATATATTAAATCTCTGTTAAACTCTACATATTTGTTCATCCTCCTCAGTGATACTCAGCCTTGAGTATAGTTGAATTACAGCAGTGGAGAACTTGTTGCCTCAGCAAAGCAGTCCTGACATGTGTCTTTCTGACTAGGCAGCAAAGGCTTATTCTGTTTGCATGTATTGAGTGAATGAAAGTAACTGCTACTCTGTTCACACATGTTTGGACTATGAAATGGTCATGAGCTAAAGGAAGCCATATATGCTAAAAAATATATACGTGTTAAAAGAAAACCTGTAGACAAAATAAATGTAACAGGGTTCACTTGAGCATTGAAAGGTTCATGAATCGGGCAACACTCAAAACCAGAAAAGGTTCAGAGAGCTCCACTTTAGCAGCTTGAGCAGCAGGCTTTTATAGACTGAATGCAGAATCAAAGTATGAACATCACTTGATTGACTAAAGTGAGACATTTGCTTTATTTGTGTATGGTCCAGTGGAAAGCCTCTAGTAATATAACTAATAGCTGTTTGTGAATGGCTGAAGCTCAGTTTAATTCATTTGTTCATTTTTTCAAAATCAATGCATTATAAGGAATGCCTTTAAGTTAAATATCAGTTTATTTGTGTAAGAACTGTGGGTACAGAAACAACCCCAGGCTAATGGTTTTCTACTTATTTTGTTTTAACCAAAGGTAGAGATAAAAAAAGAGGGGAAAAGAGAGAGAGCGAGCTTGAGAGAGGCCAGCTGTGGCAACCCCCTAACTGGTTTCTCTTTTTCCTTGAAAAATATTTATTCTAATCCTGAACTTATCCTGCCATTTCTCCTCATCCATTGCTCAATGTCTCCATTAGCCTAATTCTTCAGTCATCTACTTTAATGCAAAGAAGATAATAAATACAATAGGGTTACCTGACCACTACAATAGCCCCTATATTTATTTATAGGCTTCTCTTCAGTCCCACCTACTTAAGCTAATAGTCAAATCTTTTTTCTTGAAACCACAAAGGTACCTTATTTAGCCACCATGTTTTTACTCTGCATAAGTGAAGACAAATCACATGCACAGTCTGCATCTCATATATATATATACACACATGTATTTTAAGACAGAGTCTCACTCTGTTGCCCAGGCTGGAGTGCAGTGGTGTGACCGCGGCTCACTGCAACCTCCACCTCCTGGGTTCAAACGATTCTCCTGCCTCAGCCTCCCGAATAGCTGGCATTACGGGCACGTGCCACCACACCTGGCTAATATTTTTTTTTGTATTTTTAGTAGAGACGGGGGTTTCACCATGTCAGTCAGGCTTGTCTCGAACTCCTGACCTCGTGATCTGACTGCCTCGGCCTCCAAAGTGCTGAGATTACAGGTGTGAGCCACCGCACCAGGCCTGCATCTCATATTTTTATCACCAGAACCCTAAACTCAATTCAGATGCCTTCAGCTGGACACATCATTTGCCCACTTGAGGCAATATAGATTTTGATTTAAGAAAAATACAGAAGCCTAAAGATGTAATTGTCTGAAGAGTAGAAGACTCTACCTACCCATTTGAACCTTAGAGAAAACATGTTTCAGATTAAGCATGAAACAGTCCATGTAAATGATTTTGACTCATAGAGCAATCCATTCATCTCCATAAGCATTTAATTTAAGATGTAATTTTAACATAGATTAGAAATTTATATTTAAAGATGCTTCTTGGAGACACCCCAGTTGGATTTGAATTGGGTTTTACATGACATGTCATTTAAATTTCTCTGCTTATTTAACTTCCAACACTTGGCAGATGCATTCCCAGGAAGCATTACACCTTCTCCAAATGCCTCAGCCCTTGGAAGAGAGAAAGCACTAGAATTTTAAGCCAAGCTTGGGCACCCACACAAGACAACATGGCATCCAACCTGAAAATGTGTCAGAAGGAGTGAAAGAATAATGTATCTTAATGTATCAGAATACCACATATTCAACAAAATATAGGTCACTGGTGGTTGCATGCACAGGGCAGGGTGGATATCAATCATTTACTAATTAATGTTCAGTTCTGCCTCATCCCTTACAAAATGGACTACGGAGACCAAGAGAGCTCCATGACTCAGAATATAATAATTTAGCCTTTTGTTCCTTCACTGGCTAATAGAAAAGATGAAAAGGTAAAAAATCTAGGTAAGATGTGTGGACTTTGGTGTGCTCCTGTTTAGAAGCCTGTGTGCAGAGCACAAAACTGCAGTGCCAGGTATCTACACAACATCTCGTGACTCGAGAGATAAATCAATGTTATGTAAACGACTATTATGTCCACTACACTGTGCTTAGGACTTTGAATTTATTCAAGTCTCTATTTTTGAATGGTATATAGTCTAGGTAAGGAGGCAAGACTAAATTGTGCAAAAACAACCAGGATTCAGAGTACAATGCAACAGGTTGAAACTGTCAGAAAACGTTGCCAACAACACCATTCTAAACAAGATTAGTCAGCCATCTTATGTGGATGTAGGAGTTTGAAGAAGGACTGAATTCAAGTATAAAGAACCTGTTTATCTGATAACCCGGTGCACTGGAGTAAATCCCAGTCTCCAACCAGCAATAGTCTTATTTACATGTCAAAGTTTTCTAGAAAGAAGGATGCATGCATTCATTTCTACATTCTTTTAATGACCTGTGTTTGTTGCTGGTGTTATATGTGCTGAGTCTGAGTTTTTTCATAGTGCTCAGCTGTCTAACAGGAGTTGTTCCTGTAGAGTCTTCTCTCCACACCTTTAGCTGTGCTAGTCTTCTCACCTGGAGTGCTTTCTCCTTTCATTCCACCAATCCTACTTTTTCTTAGTCTGCAACCTGCAAGGCCACTTTTAATTGTTTCTTCAGTGGAGCTTTCCAATGATAGCAGTCTTTAGTTTTCATTTGTTTTGGATTTTAATCTTAACTACCCTCACTAGGTCTTTAAAATTCACTTTTTACCGGGTGACTTAATTTCACTCATGATCACAAAGGAAGCATTTTCTTTTCTTTTTATTTTGCACAATCTTGTGTCAAGTTTTGGCCAATAGAACAGGTGTGGAAGGAAGAGACATATTTCTAGCCCTGTTTCTAATTAAACAATAAAGCACCTTCATTTTATGGTTCTTTCCTCTGTTCTTTTCCAGGTAACTTCAGAAGGCCTTATAAAGAATGTGCAGTAGGAAGAAGAAAATCTGGAACCCTGAGTGAGTACTTTTGGAAGTTCTACCCAGGAGATCTCTGAAACTAGCAACATCCAAGTTAAATTTTGTCCCAATGAGTAATAAACTCTTCTTTTTTAAACCATTGAAATTCTTCAGTATTTTAAATAATAATAGCAAGTATTAATTATCCTCAGTGATAGACTATTTTCTCAACTTACTCATTATATAAGTTAATGTATGAAAAGCACTTAGAACCATGCTTAGCACATCCTAGGTGCTTAATAATGCCAGGTGTTATTATAATTATTACTATTATTACTAGTGCAACACAGTCAACTAATATTTAGTGAGTGCTCACTGCGTACTAAGCATGCTCTGGGTATTGAAGAAAAAATAGTAAATAATCACTACATTTGTTTTTGAGTTCACAGTCTAGTAAAAATAACAATAGCAATAAAATATCTAACCTTGCCTAATGACTGTCACTGTTCTACTTTTTTCTGTTTATTAACTCTTCTATTTTTTAAGATAACTTAATAATTTTATCCCCATTTTGCAGTTGGGGAATCTGAGGAAAAAAGAGATTATACATAATGTCCAACGTTACAAAGCTGGTAATTGGCAGGCCAGGATTTAAACCTAGTGATTCTAATTTCCGTGTTTATGGTTTTATATTTTATGCCATGCTGCCCATGAGAATTAAGTGAATTAATGGAGCTGTGTGCAGAATGGGATGAAGACACTTCATTAAGCAGTGACACTGGAACAAAGTTTGACAGATGATTAGATGTTTACCAGTTGCACTATAATGTTAAGGACATGAAAAATAAATTCTTTCCAATTGATGCACCAATTGATTAACTGATTAACGGTGTTAATTTTATAAAGCATTGGGCTGGGTAGTCTAAAAGGTCTAAATTAGTGATGACTCTTGGTTTTAAAATGGAGAAATTCAACTCAAACAGTACTTAAGAAAAGGAGAAAAACTTTTATGAGGTCATATGTGAGTCTCCATCCAGATACCTGCCTGAAATAATTGGTAAAATGCCTCTGTCTGATTTAATTCTAATAAAGTTCTTTTTAAAATATTGAGTGTAAAAGAAATGGACACCAATTACTCAAGGCTCATAGTTTATGGGACTATTAACGTCTATAGAAAGAAGACTAACGCAGAGACATTTTCGCCATCCTATTCTTCCTCCTGGACAAACAGGAAGACTCGTTTATTTAGCCTTATTTTCACATTGTTGAAGTCAAATGATTGACCTCTAGTCAATGAGTGGTAGGAAGAAATGGTCTAAGTCACAAATAGTCCTGGCTCTTAAAAATATTTATTTCTAAGTCTTCCAATTCTTTCACTCTCAGGTGCAGTGACTTTAGAAGCCATATATTTTATGTGACCAACTTATAAGCAGGAGTGTGACCCAACCCAAACTGGACTTCCCTTGACCTATAAATATGTTTATATGTTTTAAGGTAGTAAAATGCCAGTGTTTACTTCTGGCTGCAGTGTATCCTATCTATCCTAGTTAATTCAACCATCTGAGTAATAAGGTCTCAGAGACAACTCTCAATGGACTGACTCATCTACGCCAAACTCTGAATGAAATACTATAGCCAAGAATTTGGAATAATCTCATTGAAGAGGCCCAGCTTGGAACTGAATAAAAATAAGCCAGATAGAATATTGGAGGATTCAGAATGTGAAGGAGCAAAGATAATTAAAAAAATATGTCCACTATATATCATAGCCTTTATTTGTCTTGCAGTAGGTAACACATACTAAACGTATCTGACTTTCCTAGACCATTGTTAATGTACATCTGCATTCTACCAATAACTGGAAAGACAATCTTTCCGATAATAAACCTGTGGTCTATTTTCATAACATAGATCCATTCATCATTTTAGCTCAATAAGCAAATATTTTCTTTTGCCTGAAATATTTCTTATCACCCACATCATATTTAATGTCTAGGAGTTAATGCTGCCCAATTCAGGCATTTAATTCAAATATAGAAGGGCTTTACATACATTTCTTATTTTTTGCTAACACTGTCATTGGACTTTGTTTTTATTATTAATACATTTGACTCAAGAAAAATTAAATTTCCTTCTTTGAAAATCCCATGACAGTAGAAAGTTAAATTGAAGGGATTATGATTTGTATTGTATTTGAGGAAATCTTATCTGCCTTAATCCTAATGTGGGTCCAGTTTTTATTACAGAAAATTCTTTGCATTTAGGAAGTAGGCAGTTAATGTTAGAATTAATATGCACAGAGAAATCCAGTTCTTCTTTGTACTTGGGTTGTATAGTACAATTGAAGAAATCTTCAAAGGCATGTGATTTTTCTTACTTTAAGTTTCAGACTTCTGGGAAAACTCAACTTTCAGAATTAGGCACCATCTGAAAGATTAGCTCCAGCCATAATATAGAATATTCTTCTTTTCTTAAGCTGTTATTTTCTTTATTCTCCAAAACTGTATTTGGCCTCATACTAGAAATGGACACTGTAGGCTGTCAAGCATTTTAGAGTAAGAGGCAAAGAAAACAAGAGTTGCACATCTACATCTGAATTCCCAGAGCAGTAATAGAAGCAATAAGTCAATTTGTAGGAATTCAGGAAAAAAAATCTCAATTGGGATCAAGATGCTCTAAAGAACTTCATTAAATAAAGGGGACTTAAAATGGCATGAAACATGTGTTCGTCCAAAGGGGACGAAAATAAAAGGTAGTAAGTTACTCTTGTTTGAAGCATTGAAGCATATGCTGGGACACCAGATGTCAGGACTGCTTGAGAAAACACAGGAATATAGGAAAAGCACAACTAATATATTTGGAGTAATAAAAGAAGGAATGCAAATACCTCAATAATTGCACATTTATTATTATTATTATTATTTTTAATACTGGAAAATGTATTCTCAATATTCTCATCCCAAGATTCTCTGTGACTATTACTTAACATGCATTAAATAGTAATAATTTATCATAGTAGTAGTCAGCTCTTTACATGAAACAGCACATTTAGTACTCATAATAAGTCTATGAAGTAGGAACTATTACCTGTATGTATGTATGTATGTATGTATGTATGTATGTATGTATGCATTTAATGTATTCAGAAACTTTTCAAATTAATGGAAACAAAAAATGGCTAAAATAAACACTCATATTCACTAACTGCTCTTTCTTTCCTTACACATATGTAAACACGCATACCCTACATACACACACACACACACACACACAATCCATTTACCAAACCATTTGAAGGTAGAGTGCATCCATAGTAACACTCCCAAATGTGCTTCTTAATTCTAAGAACACTGGAGAATCCATTTCCCAATATCAAGGATATTTGCCTAATAAACCACACCACCACTGATATACATGAAAACATAAGCATTCATTCAACTAATTTTTAAAATAGCATATCCATTTTTCATCTCCAATTATCTGAAAAAGCGTTCTCATTGTTTCTTTTTAAATGCAGGCTTCACTAAAAATTCATAAAATTACTTTGGCTGTTACGTCTCATTCATCTTCCCACCCAGTGCAGACTAGACCATATTTCTCATGATATTGAATCTTTTGATGACTCTGGGTCAGTCATCCTACTAAATAGCCCATGTTCTTCATTTGATGACAATTTCATAATGATGATATTTAGGTTGCATATCGTGCATTTTTGGGAAATACAGTAAGCATTCTACGAAAGAAGCTCAAAGCTCAAAAGGCATCTTTTGATGCCTAAAGGAGTGTTTATTTTAATTATTTCTTTTGTTTCTAGTGGTTTGAAAACAAATTTTCTATGATTCCCTCACTACTGTTGCCTTTTTCTTTCCTTCCCTTGTCTCTGACACCCCATAACATGCTTACTTTATTTATCCTGTACTGTAGAAGTATGCATAGTAACTAATAGGAGTTCTCTGTTTAAGAGCTGGAAATGAGTGCCCAGAAGTTCCAATAACTGGGTTTAACATAGCCCAACTCATACAACTAGTATTTTTGGAGTAATAAAAGAAGGAATGCAAGCTACACTGACCAACTTCATTACCTTCTGCAAGGTTGGCTTCTTTAGAAGAGGGAGCAGAGATGAAAAGGTGAATCACTTCATAGCAGGGCTTAAGATAGTAAAATCGGCCAGGCGTGGTGGCTCACGCCTGTAACCCCAGCACTTTGGGAGGCCAAGACGGGCGGATCATGAGGTCAGGAGATCGAGACCATCCTGGCTAACACAGTGAAACCCTGTCTCTACTAAAAACACAAAAAATTAGCCAGGCGTGGTGGCGGGTGCCTGTAGTCCCAGCTACACGGGAGGCTGAGGCAGGAGAATGGCTTGAACCCAGGAGGCAGAGCTTGCAGTGAGCCCAGATCGCACCACTGCACTCCAGCCTAGGATGACAGAGTGAGACTCTGTCTCAAAAAAAAAAAAAAAAAAAAAAAAGATAGTTAAAATCAATTCCAGCTGATTTAAATTTTATTCACTAAACTACAAAACATTCACAGACATGTAAATGAATATTTTTGTAAATACTAACAGGGATTTCTAAAATTACATGCAATTAAATAAGCCAGAAGAAAATTTTAAAAAATTTAACTGCATAAAACAGTAAAAATCTCATCCATTTCAAAATACATAAACTAAATTAAAAGGCTACTAAAGCTAAGGAGAATCTTTGCCAAAATATTACAGACAAAATTTAATATTATTCTGTACAGGACTTATATTTCATCAAGATTTATACTAAAACCCTGATAGGTAAGTAGGAATAAAGAATAATGAGATTTACAGAAAAAAGTATATGTGACCGAAAAATATATGTCAAAATGTTAAGTTTTGTGTTAAAGACATTAAAATGAATAAATGAAATATTTTATCTAGCAAATACTCAAGGATTAAAAAAATTGCTTGCAACTGTGCAACAGAATTGGCATTTTCATATACTCATGATGGGAATTTAAATGTTCTTACTGCTCTCTAAAAATAAATTAAAAATATTTTGTCAATAGGCTTAACAAAATCTATATCATTTAACTTATTATTTCCATTTATTGGAATATGTTCAAAGACTCAAAAAATCTACCACAGAATCATAAACAAATATTTTGTGTAACTCAAAATCAAAGCAAGTAATGGCTGAACAAATTCTAGTGTAGCTCCAAGATGGCATCAAATTGCACTATTTAGATATTTAAAAGAAAGTATTTATTGAATTTTAAAAGTTCATAACTTATTAAATATAAATAAATATACGATATAAATATAGTGTAATAGTAATTATAAATTATGTACATTATTTTATTAAGTAAATATTCTAGGTTTAACTCTAAAAGTACGCTTTTGAAGTTTCATTTTGTTTTTTCTTTGTTGTATCTTCCAAATTATTGCTAATAATCGTGTCTGCATTACATGTGAAATTTGTTTTTCAAGGATAAATAAACATAGAAAAATAATTAGGGGCTGCTGTCAAATGATGTTAGCAGTTGGAGAGTGACTTCTTGCCAAAAGAGGTGTTGACAAACACAAGTAAGGTGACATCATTTGGTCAAGCACTTTGGTTACTGAAAGAGGATCATGTGCATTAGACCTCTCTTTTCACTTCTCTGCTCTTTAACTGTCTGTTATTTGACTGGGTCTCAACCATATGCATGTGCTCACTTGCAGGTTAGCCTGGTGGGAAAGTCAGCCTCAGCTGAAGCCTCAACAGGCAGCTTGGATGCTTCTTGACATCTACATTAAGGTGAGTTCAAAGTGGGCAGCCCATCAGTGATTATCTGTAATACCTCTGGGGAGTTTCACATTTCACTCTGTATTCGCTTCTCGCTGGCTGTCATAATAAAGTCTTTCCAAATAAACACCTTTTTTTTTTTTTTTTTTTTTTTTGAGATGGAGTCTTGCTCTATCGCCCAGGCTGGAGTGCAGTGGCATAATGTCGGCTCACTGCAACCTCCGCCTCCCAGGTTCAAGTGATTCTCCTGCCTCAGCCTCCTGAGTAGCTTGGATTACAGGTGCATGCCACCACGCCTGGCTAATTTTTGTATTTTTAGTAGAGACAGGGTTTCACCATATTGGCCAGGCTGGTCTCGAACTCCTGATCTTGTGATCTGCCCTCCTCGGCCTCCCAAAGTGCTGGGATTACAGGTATGAGCCACTATGCCCTGTCAACACATCTTAATATTATCTTCATTTGCAAAATGCCCAATTTTTGCTCATCTTAAAATTTCATTGTGTTTTGTCAGCTGCAACGATTTGGGAAACTCGGATATACTCTCTAACTCTTAATTTCAAAATTGATACAGAAAATATGCAATCTAAATAGTGTGATACTTATTAAAGAAAATGAGTTTGTATTCAAAAAGCTTCCCACAGTTACATTTCCGGGCACAGGTAGCTTCACCAGAATTTTGTAGTAAACATTTGAAGAAGAAATAATGTCAATACTGTTTCCCAACCAGAAAATAGAATAAAAGGGAGAATTTCTTACACATTTTATAAGGACAGAATAATTGAATAATTCTAATACCAAAACTAGACAAGATCACAAGAAAATAAAAATACAAATTAATATTCATCATGAATACACATGCAGAATTCTTACCAAAATAGTAACAAATCAAAAGAAACATATACAAATGAAAAAGAAATCACAAGCAAAGTTTATCCCAAGAATGCAAGATTGTGTTTACATTTATAATTAAATAAGCATAATTCACATTAATAAAATATAAGCTACATAAAAATATAATCAATAATGTAGAAAAGGCATTTCACAATGTCAATACATTTATAATAAAGAATCTCTGCAAACTAGAAATTAAAAAATTTCCTCAAACTTATAAGGCAGGAATATAAAAGTTCTTAGAGGTAATAAATATTTAATGGTAAAATACGGAATTTTTATATGATTGGAGATGA
Source organism: Homo sapiens (assembly GCF_000001405.40). Lineage (NCBI taxonomy): Eukaryota > Metazoa > Chordata > Mammalia > Primates > Hominidae > Homo > Homo sapiens. The sequence goes on from NC_000010.11 coordinate 107,714,577, forward strand.
AGCAAGGATGTCTACTTTTATCATATCTTGTTAACATTATGTGAAAGGTTTATCTTTAGCAAGACAAAAAGTATACAGGTAGGAATAAAACAAGTAAAAATATATTTTTCTGATACAATTACATAATTGAAAAACATTATATTACAACTTAAGTAAATTCAGTAAAGTCACAGAAAACAAAGTCACCAATCGATATAAATTTATCTCTGTAGACTAGTATTTAGAATTGGAATAGTAAATTGAAATGTATGTTGTCACTTAGAAAACATGAATATTTAGGAATAATTGTAATAGAAGATATGCAGGAGCTATACACTGGAGAAAAAACATTGCTGAAAAAACAAAGTAGATAGAAATAAGTTGAGAGATAATTCATGTAAATGCAATGAAGGAGTCTATATTTTTAAGATGTCGGGCTTTTTTCCTCATTTCAAAATTCAACTCAATCTCATTCAAAATCCTACCAGGTTTTTCATTCGGAAAAAATTGACAAGTTTCCTCTAAAATCTGTATGGAGATGTAAAGGACCTAGAACTACCAAATTAAACCTGAAAAAGACTCACAAATTTGGAGGCTTCAAACTATCTGATTTCAAGATTCCTGTAATGTGACAGCAATCAAAATAGGTTTTGGTAGTAATGTAAGAATAAAAACAGATCAATGGAACACCATAGGGAGTTCAGGTATAAAACTATGCATGTACTGTGGTTTGATCTACAAAGATGCCAAATGATTTAAAAAGGATAGTATCTTTTAACATATGGTACTGGAATAACTGAATATCCATACAGATAAAAATAAATCTCAACCTCTACTTCAAATTAACTACAAAATTAATATGTGATGGATCATAGACATAACTATTAACATTTTCAACTTCCAGAAGATAATATATAAAACTAACTTTACAACAATGAAATAGGAAAATATTTATTTAACAGGACACTAAAAGGACTATCAGAAATTTAAATAAAAATGATAAATGGGATTTCCTCAAAATTAAAACTTCATCTTTTCAAAAGACACTATTAAAAGTGAATAGGCAAAGCTCTAGATAGAAAGATACACATCGGTCAAAAGCGGCCATTCAGAATGTAGTGTACTCAAACGTATCAACAAAGAAAAACAACTCAGTAAGACAAGAAGGAAATACTTGAATAGACATTTCAAAGAAGAATATTTACATATTCCTCTATAAAACTGGTAAATAAGTGCATGAAAATATACTCAGCATCATTAGTCATCAGTGAAATGGAAATCAAAACCACCATGTATTTTTACTGCACCTCCACTAGATTGGCTAAAGTTAAATGTCTAACATTAAATATTCAAAAAGACATAGAGCATCCAAAAATCTTAGCTAAATTACCATAAAAGGGGGTCAACAGAAGCATTTTGGGACGTACTTATGGAGTTAGGATTTGAAAAGAAGCTGCAGAATGAGACACAGAAGCAGTGAGGAAGTAGGAAGGTGGTAAAATGTTCACATAGGGCAAGTCTGAAGAGAGCCAGGTTCACAGAGTTCAATCAACATTCCCGCTGATAAAAGTTTCCAGAGTTTGTCTTTAGGCACACAGTGTGACCCTCAAGAAATAAATTAACACAGAAGACTGGGGATAAAAGCTAGCATCAAAATAACTGAGAAATCAATGTCAAAGGAAGAAAGAGGGGAATATAGTTTAGAAAACTCTTTTAAAAAGTATACATTGCAGGAAAATCAGGAAAGCTGAAAGAATCATTTAAGGATATATCCAACTGGAAAAAAATCTCTACTAGGAGAACAAAGTCAAGTTTGTTCACAGGTGTGTGGAAATAGCTAATAAAAATGGGCTTATGAAGATATAAGAGAAAATGTTGACAAATGTGGGAGCCAGGCTTTAGGGAAGTCTGAAGTAAACAAGATGACGAGCACACATAAAAAAGTTTAGCAGGTGGATAAAGACACAGAAGAAGCAGTTTGAGACACCAAACATGAAGAATCATATTGTTTGAATTCAGTTCCAGAAAAGAAGGAATCAAGGTTATTTTGTGAGAATGAAAGACTCCAAAGTGGAACTGATGACTGCAGAAGAGTGGAGGATATTTGTAACATCCATTATAATAAAAGAAAGAAATAAAAGGATGGCTGGACAGCATTGAGAGACCAAAGTAAAATTATATGAACTCATAAGTAGATATCAAATAATGAAAAATAATTTTATAGCTTCATGTAGCAATGTAGCAGCTTAGTCATGTTTGAAATTATTTGCCCCTTGGAAAAAAATTTAAAAACTCATATATATATACTTATTCTGCATATATTTATGGATATTTTATATTCATATGTACACATGTATGTGTTTCCTAGTTCTGTTCAGTAACATATATTTATTAATCTATCTATATTGAATTAGTAAATTTATCATGTATTTATAAGAAACATGAGTAAGGAGAAACGAAAAGGACATACAGGCATCAAGGAGTTTAGGAGACATGGAAGAAAAGTAAATTGACCATCAGAATATTATGTATAAAGTTACGGAAGAGAGATACATTCTGTTATATGGGAAAGTAATACTTAAGCTTAGAAACTTAATGGATGAGTGAAGTTTAACCAGCTTGGTAAGAAAAATGGGGAAAAAATTTACAGTGGTTGTGAAATGTGCCCAGGCTGAGATGACTCAGGAGAATTTCATATAGTATGTCTATACATGGTGTGGGTGGCATGGCTAGATGTGAGATCATGAGGAACAGTAAACGCAGAAAATTTCAAATTTTCTAATGAAAGTGAAGAATTATTTTAAGCAAGTGAAAAAAAATTGTCCCATTAGTTTTTTTAGAAAGAATAGAGTGAAAAAAAGTGGAGGACAGAGGGGGTATGATTATTAGCACAAAGTCCTGATTAAAAGATATTACACTAGGAAAAGTGAGAAATAATGAGTGAAGCTAAAGCATTCACTGCAGGGATTAAGGAGGATGGAATGTTGTAAGCATGAGGGTTAATTAAGAGGCAGAATAAACAAAATGATATTTGACTGGGAAGGGGCAGGACGAGACAGGAGGAAATTAGGATGACATACTAGATAGAGAGTAGTTTTGTGAATACGTATTTCGATGTGTTACGTGAATATTCGTGTCCCCTCAGAATCCTTATGTTACAATTGTAACCCCCAATGTGATAATATTAGGGGGTGATGACTTTGGGAGTCAATTAGGTTATGAGGACAGAGCCCTTGTAAATAGGGTTAGTACCCTTATAAAGAGAGACATGTGAGCTTGTGTCTGCTCTCTCCATTCTCTATATTGTGAGCAACACCCATCTGCAAAAAGGCCATCTTCAAACCAGAACCACATCTTCAGGCACCTTGATCGTGGACTTCTCAACCTGCAGAACTGTGAGGAATAAATGTTGTTTAAGCCACTTAGTCTGTGATAATTTTTATAGCAGCCTTGGATGACCAAAATGGAAAAAACAGGAGTAGGTATTAGAGTGGGACAGAAATATTGGTAGGTTCAGAATGGAAGAATGTGAGATGGTATGAGATTTTAAAACGAAAAAAATAAAATAGAAACATATTGACCCTAGGATCCAGTTTGAGGTTTGAAATTGACCCTGGCATCCAGTTTGAGGTCGGTAAACTCAAACGATTCTAGGTGAACTAATGAGGCTGAAGATGAGAAGCACATGCAGTGGAAATTGGAAAGTGAGGAAGGTCAATGTCCATAAGGCAGTAATCTATACTTTTTGAAGCAGACAATCTACAAAAATGATTCCAACCACATTTGTTGAAAAATTTCGACTAAGATTTTTACCTCATTCCCAAACTCTAGATCAAATATTTTCAAATATAATCAAAATATATTTGCCTCGATGTTCAATAGAAATCTCCAACTTAATGAGCAATCCAAATTTGGCCTATTAACCAAGATGGTATTCAAAACATGGACAACTTACATAAAACAGTTACTAACATAATAAAATACATGCCCAATTTCTCAACTGAATACACATTAATAAACAATTGCTCCAACAGAATTGCTACTTACTGGTTTAATTTTAGTTCTGTTTCACTACCAAGTCTCTTTTCAATTCCTTGTGTGATTTGTCTCATTTAGTGGTACATTCACCCATTTTCCCCAGATAGAGGTATAAGGAACCATTATCTATATGTTTTATAGCCTCTCACAGTATTGAATACCAATTCCTGTTGATTCTGTCTTGAAAAGGTCTCTTTAATTTTACCTTTCTTTTCTACTCTCTTCATCATGTCTTATGTTGACTATTGTGTTAGTCTACTATAAGGTCTCAACTTCATTCCTTTGCATTGCTGTTCTGTGCCTGAAATGCTTTATTTCCCCTTATCTGCCTGGCAGATAACCACTCATAATTCAAGAAAGAAATCAGATGTCAACTCCAATGTGACAGCTTCTTCTAACACCCATGAAAGATTAATCGCTTATAGCCGGTACTGAGTCGGAGGTGACTCATACCAGCTCATTAGAGCAAATGTGCATATCTCTTTTAGGTACATAATTCTACATGATTTAGGTACCTTGAAATCCTCTAGGTCAGGATAATTCACAACTTGGAAATTGGCAAACACTACATATAAGTTGCTCCCCACCCCCAAGATCTGGTTTACTAAGATTCCATTGTTTCTAGACCTTCTGAGCTCCTATTACAGGATTTCGTTTCTGCATTACAACAACGGATTTCCTTGTCAGTCTTTCTATATTAGATTGTCAGGTGCAAGGAATATCACTTGCTATTTATCAAAACCTTAGTTTCTATCACCATGCCTAACACATACTTTCCGTTTAGGAGGAAGGAAGTAAGAAAAGTAAGGAAGCATGGAAGAATGGAAATAGAGAGGGAGTGAGACAGAGGGAAGGATGCTGCATATGGGTGATTCTGAGTTTCAGATTGTGATGAAAAAACCTAATTAAATTGTTCCTGGGGTAGAATTGTGAGTTCAATTCATCAAGTCAACATGGCTGCTAGGTTCTTAAAAACAATGATAGCTAAGAATGGGAGGGTTGGTGGAGAAGGTGATGGCTATTGAAGAACATAGATCATCCTTCAATTGGTGAATAGAAACAAAGGTGGGAAAGATTAAGAAACAGAATACTGATATTCAACCCAAGGATGAAAGGACTCAATACTCTCCCTCAAATAACAGGCAACTTAGTTTTTCAGTTAGACTGAGACAGATGTTTGATCATTTTGCAAATGGAGACAAACATTTCGGCTGACTACTATTTTTCTCAGTTAAGTTCACTCCATAAACAGCTTGGTTACAAAGCTCTTTGGGAGGCAAGCAAGATTCCTTATCTAGACAACATAGAGCAAGAAGGATGAATTCCATCTTTCCTCTCAGGCAGAGATAAAGGGCACCTGACTTTAAATAACCAGGAGCAGTTGGGGGGCAGAGTAAAGCCCTCACGGATAAGGCAGTGCTCTGTTCAGACCACCTGAGTACAAGTCGTAGCTCTGCCACTTATCTCTGTGAATTTGAACCTATTACTTATTTCTAGTCTTCTCATTAGAAGAAGTGAGAAATGGGATTAAAACTACTTGATTCACTGGGCTGTTTAAAGAGAATTAAATAAATCTATAAGTAGATAATTTAGCATAGTGCCTGGCATATACTAATCACTTAGTGAAATGTTCATGACGCCGACGATGGTGAAAATGTTAATACAAATATGATTGGCTAAAAAGGACCCAGACCTCTAGCGCTTTTGATCTATAGTTCAAGTCACATGTACTTCTGGAAAGACAAATTGCCCTTGAGAAGGCAGGGAGGACCATGCAGGATTCCTGAAGGCATCAGTGAGAACTACAATTCTACCATGTTCGATGAATGCCCAAAATTAATTCTAGAATTTTGTTTCTTTTAAAATCTTAAGAGTTCAATCTCTGGGTTTATGGCGAAATTTCTAATAAACTTCTGTCCTTGATATAAAACTTCACACTTAAGAAACAAGAGAATTTTCCATGGAGCAATTATATCCCTTAGTTTCACATCCCTTCCTTGTTCAGAAGGTGTTTGTTACATTAAATTTTAAAAAAAGTCTGAAAGTGTTCATCACACACTTCATAATGATTACCTGAGTACTTTCAATGTTTAAAATATTTGTCCAAAGGAAGAATTATTATCCTCTCTGAATGATTTCTGGTGTATATAGAAGAATTAACTATTAATTTCTACAATAAGAACTTTGAGTCAACCCAATTTTCACTGACTTCATACTCAAAAGTCATAAATAAGTCCACCTCAGAGAAGAGTTTTGTATCCTGAATTCTGATTCTTTTTCTATAGTTGGAGAGATTTGCCTGAAATATTAATACTGAAATCCAAGACTATTTATCCTTTAATAGGTGGTGATGGTTGCAAGTCACAATATTAATAATAAAGTCACTTTCACTGACTCTGACTTCCAGTCCTCTAGAAAGTCATTTTCCTGTCCTAGCCAAACAAATCTGGGATCCTCAGAGAGGTGAATAGCATGTGCTCACAACAAGCCAGTTTCCTGCTGGATCCGCTGTTACTGCTCAGTGGAATTCCTAAGTACATAGAGACCCCTGATGGGTAATCACATGCCCCCCAGGTGCTGCTGTTTCCCCCAGGAACAGTCCTGTCCTCTGTATCTGCCTCAACTGTAGATTGTATCACAATGAAAAGGGAAAGATCTCTCTCCTTTTCGGTCACAGTGAGTGGGGCACTCAAGAAATGCTGTTTAAGTCCCAAAGCATTTCACAGATTTCAGTACAATCATTCCTTTTGGTTTTTTGTTTTGTTTTGTTTTGTTTTTCATTTGAAAAGCTCTATTCCATATTGATTTGGTTTTGCTCTGTGTCCCCACTCAAATCTCTTCTCGAATTGTAATCCCCACATGTCAAGGGAGGGACCTGGTGGGATGTGACTGGATCATGGAGGCAGTTTCTGCCACGCTGTTCTCATAATAGGGCCGGAGTTCTCATGAGAGCCAATGGTTTTAAAAATGCCAGTTTTCCCTGCTCTCTCTCTCTCTCCTGCCATTTTGTAAAGAATGTGCTTGCTTCTCCTTCACCTTCTACCATGATTATAGGTTTCCTGAAGCTTCCCCAGCTATGCGGAACTGTGAATCAATTAAACCTCTTTCCGTTATAAATTACCCAGTCTCAGGTAGCATCTTTACAGCAGTGTGAAAATTGACTAATACGAATATAAAATTTAAGGATGGCTTGCACAGGGGATATACCAGGAACATAGCCAAGGACAGATTCCATGCTGTGCATAGAATTATCTCTTATCTGCCACAGAACGTGTTCTCTCTCTTGGGAACCTCATAGAAGTGGACATTAACAGTCCCTGACACAGGTTGGGAGACATGTGTGATTCTCACTCAGATTGTAGCTATTGGTCTCTCTTCTCACTGCTTTCTAGGCTCCCCAACTTCCACCACAAGTACTCTTACGTTACCTCATCACCCAGTTCTGTTTTCCTTACTGTTGCTTCATTCTGTAGACCTTAACTTTGCTAATTTAAACATAAGCATAGTTCACTTGGTTACTGTGAAGGGCACCAATGAAGCAAACATCTTGAGGTCAGTTATCAGTATTTCAGCCAAATATAACCATGGCCTATAGATTAGATCAGATCCTTTATTTAGATACAATTTTATAGAAAAGAGAGTGCTCTTCAGACAGTCCCAAGGATGTCTGGTGTTTACTTGAAGACTATTTTGATTGTCATGTGACATCACTGTCTCTAGTATTGAGCAGTTTTCAATTCAGTTGGGAGGACAAATGGTTAATCATGATATCCCGAGCAAGAACTACAAGTAGCACAAAATCAAGGTCTCAGGTTATAATAATAGAGTCTACCACTAACTAAAGTCACTGACAGTGAGAATAACTATGAAAACAATTAGAAGGTAACCATTAGAGCTGAGTCTTAAAATATGAACAGAAATTAGTTACAGGGAAAGGTGGTCAAAGTAAGAACATGATACTTTCATATTATAAATCATTTTCATTGGATCAGATTCTACTGATCAGTTCTCATCACCAGTGATGACTTTCATATAATTCAATATAATATAATATACATAACATGACATAATATCATATATATAGCAGCTTATAATGGGAATCCAAAGGAAGTTAAGAAATTAATGGTTCACCAGGTAAATAATCCTGAAAATGCTTGACATTTAAAAACCAGGGCTATAAATAAGGAACCCACCTCTACTCATGCCATTTTGGCACCAACAGATGATTTCCCCACTGATATGGTTGGCTTTGTGTCCCCATCCAAATCTCATCTTGTAGCTCCCATAATTCCCATGTGTTGTGGGAGGGACCCGGTGGGAGATGGTTGAATTCTGGGGGTGGGTCTTTCCTATGCTGTTCTCATGATAGTGAATAAGTCTCATGAGATCTGATAATTTTAAAAACGGGAATTTCCCTGCACAAGCTCTCTCTTTCTCTTTGCTTGCTGCCATCAACGTAAGATGTGACTTGTTCCTCCTTGCCTTCTGCCATGATTGTGAGGCCTCCACCAGCCATGTGGATCTGTAAGTCCAATAAACCTCTTTCTTTTGTACATTGCCCAGTCTTGGGTATGTCTTTATGAGAAACATGAAAATGGATGAAAACACCCACATTTCTCACCCTTTCACCTCAATTCAAGACAATTTAAAAAAAAATAAATTTGGACTTTTCCACATAAGATGTATTATTTTACGGAATCTAAGGGTAAAGCTAAAACTTTGCTCATTTTAAATCAAATTAGCTTTGCTTCGATAAGAACTGAAGCTTATAATGTTTTATCCAATGTTTCATAACCTTAAGTACTCTCTTCTGTAACCTGATGCTTTGGCAAAAGTTGGGAAAAATTGAGTTTGTTTTAGGAAATTCTTGATTTAGCAGTCCACTAAACTCACCAACAAGTTGCAATAATATCTGTTCTGGACTAAAACCAAGAACATAATTAGCCTGGTGTACCCCTAGCTTCTTTATCATGGAGCAGTGATTTCATAAATCATAAAAGAATGTAAAACTTCAACAACGAGAAAATATTTTCTGTTGAGGAACAGATTTTTAAATTTTATTTGTTTTGTAAACAATATGAAAAGGTTTCATATGAATACTTAATTGTACCATCATATGCTTAGTACAATTGTAGAACAATTTTCCCTCTCTTTTTACTCATTTCATTATATATTCTCACTCACTGTTTCATCACATAAAGATGACAAAGCATGGGGGAATGAATATATATATATATAAAATATATCTGTCTACTTATTTACATAACTAGTTTTCAGTAATTTTCACTTCATTTATTTTAAGATGGTGCTTTACATAACAGAAACAGTTAAAAATTATTGAAAAGCAAACTATCCTTATTTTTGGAATTTGGTTCCAATAAGAATAAAAATGGGAGAGAAAGAAAGAAAACAATTTTGGGGTATCAACGCCTGGTGACCTTAAACAGAGATGGAAACTGTAAAATAGAAAGACATCTGGACACTTAATCAAAATCAGCCTACAAGTACCTGAAAATTATGCTGTAAGCCATTTTAACCTCTCTTTCATAGAGGGAAAGAACACACTTACAAGCCCCCAATCTATTCACCTTGGATTGTTCTAATTGGCGCCATTTGTTGAGAGCCAATTATACATGACAAACTGTGCTGATACCAGATATGGTACATCACCTTGCAATAACCGTAAGTGGAGGTGTTGTGATTAACTCCGTTGCACTGATGAAGAAGCTGAAGTTAAGGGTCATTAAATTACTTACTTCAAACAGGGTATTACTAGCAGAGCAAGGAGCTAAGGAATCAAGAGAATTGAAAAACCCCACCCCTTAATACTAATGCACAATCGAGTCAAAAGGAGGCTGAATGATTGCAAACTTCGCAGTATTCCTCATCTAGCTTTTTCTTCTTTCTGTGGTTTCTTGTGTTATTGTAATTTAAATGTCTATGTACCTCATTTTAAGTGTCCAAAAATTAGATGCCACATCTTATTGGAGGAAAGGAAGGAGTCCTTTGGAGGGAAGGAAGGAGTCACAGTAAATGTAGACGTCTCCTCATAGTCTGGTCAATAGAACTGCTGAGTAAATGGCAGCATCCTTTATTCACTTAATAGATAAGGTTATCCCTGAGCACAGACACACTGAAGGCTTCTAGGTAGCCAGGAGAGTCTCTCAGGTCAAGACACTCAGTAATGACCTCACTAATGAGACCCTTTAGACTTAGAGGCTCATCACCAGAGAAAAGACTTACAGGTGCAACCAGCAGCAAAACAGGAGGAAATTTATTCTACAGAGAAGCATTTTTGACCCTGGTTTCTATCCCAGGTAAGCAGGGAGGCCAGGATACACGCATTTGTAAAATCCAGCACTTAGTATAGTGCCTGACGTAGTGTGTGAGCACTCACTGAAACAATAATATTAACAACATTCGCCAATATGTAAACATTAATCACACTTTACTAAGTGATGTATGTGAATTATTTAACACTCTCCAAATTTTAAAATAGGTTCTATTCTTGCACACATTTTTAGGTAAAAATGAGGTATGGAAAAGGTATTTGTTCACATTCACAACAGTAGTCGGTAACTGAGGTGTTTTAAGAGGTTTGCCTGACTCCAGAGCTCTTAAACACAAAATGGAATTGTTTTCTCCTATAATCCTAAAATCTAGAATAAACCCAGGTGCACAATTAGGATGGAATAATGTTTTCATGCGTATTGGCCACATAAGCACAGAGCAGCCATCAAAGAGAGCAACTGTGGCCAGGCACGTGGCCACCAGAAACTAGCTGCTACTCTCATGGGGAATTTTGGTTCAATGTTCGTGGAAGCTTTAAAGGAGATGATTGCAGAGATGGAAACATATTCTCCTCCTGCTTCATACTTACAACAGTCTTTGTCCTCTTACCTCCCATCCCCCTTTTCCCTAGCTGCTTATGAGGATTGAAACGCGGATGATGAGTCTTGGTGCCCCTCAGCAATAAAGCCCTGCAATGATGTGCTCAGGAGGGGAGGCAAGCTCTTGCAAGAGGTGCTCCACCCACACTGTGTGTCCTAGAACCAGACCTATATATTTTATTAGTAATTAATGGGGCATTTCATGTTCTCCAATTTCTTTGTACTAATTGCCTGCCACAGGGTTAACACAGACAATTAGAAGGAAATACAAAGGCAACAGAACACTCTTTTGTCTCATCAGCTTTTGCATTATCTGGGAAATTTAATTCCATCATTAGGAAGACACTACAGATGATACTACAGTCTTGGAGAATCTGAAAGTCTACATCATATTTTCCTTAATTTTATCCTTATCTTACTGTCTGACAGACATATGCATTCCCAGGTCACCATTTTCAGGAGGTTCAAGCAGGATGCTTAATGCTCATTGCCATGAATTTCAGGTGTCATAAAATATTTATGAAATAAAAAATGACAAAGAATCAAATTGTTAGGACATCACTTCCATTCATCATGTTCAGTAGCCTTGGTTCCAAAAGAACTCTGATTTTAATATTGTTACAATAATTGTATATCATCTAATGTGATATACGGTTTCCTCTGTTTTTTTTTTTTAAAGAAAAAGCAACATAACTTATAGATGCAATGAATAGTCTTCCCTTTTTGCTACAAACAAACATCTGACAATTTAACCAGTAAACATCATTTATTATGCTTACCAACACTTCTGTAGATTTTGGTACCTCTGGCAACCAGTAAACCTAAGCGAGGTTAAAAAAAAAATGTATGCGTACTTAACTTTGAAATGCATTATTTACTCAGGGCTACAAAGTACATGACTGCATATACATCCTCTTATGCTTATCCAGATGCCCACAACAATGTTTAAGAGTAGTGCTCCAGAGAATCCTTAAGTTTAATTTCTGCCTAACCTTTTAAACAGTCCTGAGCATTAACATGTCTTGCTGCATTTCTTTTTATCACCCTACCTGTTCTAACTCATTTTATTTTCCAATTTCCCTAAACTGTATCTTAGGAATGAGCTGGTTTTTAAACTCTTCCTAGAAGCTTCCTTCAAGAATATTACCATCTGGGCCAGGCACGGTGGCTCACACATGTAATTCCAGCACTTTGGGAGGCCAAGGCAGGATCATCACCAGAGGTCAGGAGTTCGAGACCATCCTGGCCAACATGGCGAAACCCCGTCTCTACCAGAAATAGAAAAATTAGCTGGTCCTGGTGGCAGGCACCTGTAATCCCAGCTACTTGGGAGGCTGAGGCTAGAGAATCACTTGAACCCAGGAGTCGGAGGTTGCGGTGAGCAGAAATGGCACCATTGTACTCCAGCCTGGGTGACAAGAGTGAAATTCTGTCTCAAAAACGAACAAAAAAACAAACAAAAAGAATATTACTATCTGGTTATAGAACTAGGCACATGAACATTAAATTACAGAAGGGCCATCCTAAAACCACTGTAAACAATTTAAAACAAGACAGTGCAATTTAAATGTATCAGTGTGCAGTTAATAACTTCTCCAGGTAATATTTGTAGTTATGTTCTATCCCATCCTAGCTATCTCATTCAAAATTTGCAGAAAACTTCAAGGAGAGTAGCCAAAAATAACTTGTATCAAAGACACATGTGACTTTTATCAGTAATGAGAGCTTCATTGCTTCTCTTATTTTATTTGTGCAGCAAGTAATTATTAAAATTAAGGCCTGATGAAAGGAAACAGGATAATTCATTTTGGGCTGCAACTCATGTGCAGGGGAAGTGATTCATGAATAGTTATAGGCCTCAAGCTTTCGGGAAAACAATTGCAGTGTTACTAGAAAGATCATCATAATTAAGTAAAAGCCAACCCTTAGCTATCAATAGACACTCAGAGATTCACAGGCATAGGTAATGCAGAAATTATAACTATCATGAATATTACATATTAGGCTTTAATTATCGGGGCAGGAGCCTGGGCCCTGATGATTTTTTAATGAAAGGTGGAATAACTTCCTAATTTAGCAGTTTTCATTTAAAAACTCATTAGCAACAATATTCAATAATGCAATAAGATTTTCCAGATGGGAAAAAAAAGGAGCAGAGGTAAAGATATTTCAGCAACATTTTCAAGGGTAGACCTTGACAAGGTTTACTTACATTTTTTGTTACCCAATAAATAATTCTTTACCAATTTGCCCAGCCTTCATTGTGCTATGAAATATTTACCCTATATTCCCTGCCAAAGAAAGAGTACTCTGTGTTACTTGGTACTGGGGTATTTTGGATACTGTAAAATCTGGAAAACCATGTTACAGTGATTAAAAAAAAAAGAGGTAGGTCTATTGACTTGGAGAGCTTAGATACTCCATTACTTAGTTTAACGTATCACTAGCCCAATGTTTTTTAAAAAAGTGACTCACAGAATCAAAGAGCAAAAACTGGCTTCAAAATTGAGTTTTGGAAACCTGCCAATGGTCTCATCTGGTTGATAACTAACACATGCATTGAAAACAAACAAGCCTTTATTGGCTTTATAGTAAGAATTTCTATTGAATTTATGAGAGGAGAAAAAGCATAGGTTACTTGCAAGAGAAGTAAATGTTTAACAAGTGCTAACGATATATTCAGTACTTTCAGGAAAAGCACAACCATAGTCTCTGTTATATGGCTTTGTTCTTTTTAATCCTTACTCTGAAATTTAAAGGCAGCATTATTTTTAAATTACATTATTGTAGACTTTTATTCTTCATGGGGAATATATTAAAGGTAGCTACTACTGGAGTTTAAAAATACATATATAGAAAATGAAATAAATTGTCAGCCTATTACAGCTGACTTAATGTTGGTTAAGCATATCATTTGGGCATTTGACTGTAAGCCATCAATAATTTCTGAATTGACTTTTTTTATTACAAGTAAGAGGAGTAGGGGTGTGTTTTTAATTATAGTGACATGCCTCCTTTTTCTTGAACACTCAGAGAAGCATGATTTCATAATTTCATGTGAAAAAAGGAATTTGAGAATTTGGGAATAACTACTCTTTTCTTATTAATAATTTATATTTCCATATGGGAGATAGAAAATCTTATCTCATGTTATACTTTTAAATAGTCAGATTAAAAGCAGTTATGAAATAGCTTTTTAAGTCTGGATGCAATTGGAACTCATTCGTGACACATTTCCATCATAATAGGATCTAAGAAGTGAGTGCAAGAGAAAAAAAGGCTGATTCAGCCTTTGACACAATGTGGAATTGTTCTCTACTGTAATATCTGTAAGGTTTTATCCAGATAGGTAAGACACCCAGATTTCATGGCTTCGTTATTTTTAACATGCAAAGCTGTTTCCGAATAGAAGTAATGACTGTTCAACCAAACCGTTTCTCTCCTGTTAATAAGTAAAAAGAAAGCAGTATTTTGGGGAACTAGGCATGAAAGAAAATTGGCACATATTTCCGAGCTATAGCAGAGCTGTACCTGAGGTTGCACAAATGTTTTGGTTATCTCAACTCAGTGCTTCCTGCTGGGATGGGCATTACTTAATAGTAGAGTTGAGACAACAAAACAAAACTTGAGAAACTTGAAGAGTGACTTTTATGGTCTGTGTGAATAGTCCTAAAAATACATTGGAATTACAAGGATCTATACATGTTGATGAGCGTTACTTGTGGGAAAATACTTCTTTATGAAGAGAAAATGGAATTGAATGTATCACATTCTTTTTTTTTATGCCAAAACTTTTTTTTCTTTTTTTTAACTTTCTTTTTAGGTTCAAGGGTGCATGTGCAGGTTTACTAGATAGATAAATTGCACGTCACAGGCGTTTGGTGTACAGATTATTTTATCACTCAGGTAATAAACACAGTAACTGATAGGTAATTTTTTTATCTTCACCCTCCTCTACTCTCAAGTAGGCCAGAGATTATTGTATATTGTATCTTTGTTCTTAATACTGTCAAAGAAAGTTTTGATTTCTATCTTAATTTCATTCAGTAGCAGACTGTTTAATTCCCATGTAATTATATGATTTTGAGCTAAATTTTAGCATCGATTTTTATTTTTATTGTGTTTTGGCCCAAGAGTACGGTTTGTATGATTTTTGTGGGGTTTTTCCGTTTGTTTTTTGGATTTCTGGAGGACTGTTTCACGGATGAAAGCGTGGTCACTTTTAGATTCTGTGTCATGTGCATATGAGAAGAATGCATATTCTGTTGTTTCTGGGCGAAGAGTTCTGTTGACATCTGTTAGGTCCAATTGGTCAAGTGTTCAGATCAGGTCCTGAATATCTTTGTTAGTTTTATGCACTGATGATCTGTCTAATACTGTCAGTGGGCTGTTGAAGTCCCCCATTATTATTTTGTGGTTATCTAAATTTCTTCCTAGGTCTAAAAGAACTTGATTTGTGAATCTGGGTGCTCCTGTTTTGGGTGGATATGTATGTAGAGTAGTTAGACTTTCTTGTTGAATTGAACCTTTTACTATTATGTATTGCTCCTATCTTTTTTGATTTTTTCTTTGTTTAAAGGCTGTTTTGTCTGAAATTAGACTAGCAATCCCCACTTTTTTCTGTTTTCCATTTGCTTAGTAGATTTTCCTCCATCCCTTTATTTGAGCCTATGGGTGTCACTGCATGTGAGATGGGTCTCTTGAAGACTGCCTATCATTGGGTCTTGCTTCTTTATCCAATTTGCCACTCTGTGCCTTTTAACTGTGGGACTTATCTCATTTACATTCATAGTTAATATTGAGATGTGTGAATTTGATCCTGTCATAGTGTTTTTCGCTGGTTATTACGCAGACTTGATTGTGTAGTTGCTTTATAATTTCAATGGTCTATGTACTTAAGTATTTTGTGTGTGTGTGGCTGCTGGTAATGGTCTTTCCTTTACATACTTGGCACTCCCTTCAGGACCTCTTGTAAAGCAGGTGGTAACAAATTTCCTTAGCATTTGTTTGTCTGAAGAGGATCTTATTTCTCCTTCACTTAGGAAGTTTAGTGTGGCTGGATATGAAATTTTTGGTTGAAATTTATTTTCTTTAAGAATGTTGAAATGTCTTCTGGCTTTTCTTTAAGAATGCTGAAATGTCCTCTGGCTTTACCTTAAGAATGCTGAGATGTCTTCTGGCCAAAATGTCTTCTGGATCGTATAGTTTCTGCTGAAAGTTTCACCAGTAGCCTGGTGGGGTTCCTTTTGTAGGTGCCCTGACTGTTCTCTCTAGATGCCTTTAACATTTTTTCCTTCATTTCTACCTTGGAGAATCAGATGGCTATATGTCTTGGGGATGAATATCTTGCATAGTATCTTGGAGGGGTTTTCTGGATTTCTTGAATATGAATGTTGGTCTCTCTAGTGAGGTTGGGGAAATTTTCATGAACAATATTCTGAAATATGTTTTCCAAGTTGCTTGCTTTCTCTCCCTGTCTTTCAGGGATACCAATGTGATGTAGATTTGATCAGTTTACATAATCTCATATTTTTAGGTTTTATTTATTTTTCATCTTTTTTCTTTAATTTTGTCTAAGTAATTATGGAGAATCAGTCTTTGATATCTGAGCTTCTTGCCTCAGCTTGGCAAATTCTGCTATTAATACTTGTGACTATATTCTGAAATTATTGAAGTGAGTTTTTCATCTGTATCAGATCAGTTTGATTCTTTTTCAAAATGGCAATTTTTGTCTTTCAGCTTCCATATCATCTTATTGGATTCCTTAGAATCCTTGGATTGAGTTTTGACTTTCTTTTGAATCTTGATAATCTGTGTTTCTATCCATATTCTGAATTTTATGTCTGTCATTTCAGCCATTTCAGCCTGGTTAAGAACCATTGCTGGAAAACTAATGCTATCATATTGAGGTAAGAAGAAACTGGCTTTTTGAGTTCGTGTTTTTGTTCTTTCTCATCTGCGTGGGCTGATACTCCTTCAACCTTTGAAGTTGCTATTATTTGGATGAGTTCTTTGATTTTATCTTCTTTGATGCCCTTGGGGGTTTTGTTGTGGTATAAGGTAAGTTCAGTCTACTGGCTTCATTTCTGAATATTTTTGGGGGTCAGTGCTCAGCTCAGCACTCCTAGGCTATGTGTGTTAACTCTGGAGGGCTAGTATTGGTCCCCTAGCTTTTTTCTCTGGCCCATCGAGGTTAGAAACATGCTGCTCTGGAGGGGTTGAGTTGTTCCCTGATTGCTGGGCAAAGCACTATGATCGGTGGGGCCAGCCAAAGCACTTTGTCAGGGTGGTAACAGTAGGATCTGTGCCTGTTTGCATATGTCAGCAGCAGCAGCAGCGGCGGCACCATGACAGCAGCATCATTGGCTGGGGTGGGGTGCCACTGGAAGTGAAGCTGCAGTGTTCCTGAATGTGCTCATACTGGCAGCAGTAACAGCAACAGGGGTGGGGGACTGGTGGGTGCAGAGAAGCCAGCCTCCATGGGTGCATTTCAGTGGCAACTGTAGCAGCATTGCAGGGGGTAGGGTTGTGCATGCCTTCACAGTGGTGGCAGTGGCAGCACAGTGGGGGATGGGGTTGTCATGTTCATGTGTGTGTTTATGCTGGCAATGGCTGTGCAGCTAAGGTGGGCGTGATGTGAACTCACACCAGCTATAGTTGTGTGGCAGGATATGCACACATGTGTGCCAATGGGGCAGAGGAGATGAGGTCCATCCACGGGCATGTGCCAGCAAAGCAGTGGGGGGTGGTGGCCATGGGTACGTGCATGCTGGCGAGGTAGCGTGAGGGAGGTTGTGGTGGGAGGAAGGTGCGGGTGGGCTGGTGCACGTTGGCAGGGACCACTCTACTGGTGCTCTCCAATGGCCAGGCATGGTCTGTCAGTGAAGAATCTATGATGAGGACCCACAGGAAGTACCTCAGCTGGGCATTGAATGCTTCACTACAAGCAGGCACAGCCAGGCTGGGTGCCCCAGGGAGGTCAGAGGATGGAGTGTGCTCACATAGGATTGGCCCTATCTTACAGGCAAGACCACCCTGCTCTGTCCAGTTCTGACAGTTACCATAAGGCTAAAATCTCCTAGAGGAGCATGGTGAGCCTTGGGGGATTGGTTTTCCTGGACATGTTCCACTGCATATGTTCCCATATCAAACCCTGTGGGCTCTGCACAGGCTGGAGTCCTGCCCCCTACCACCTCTCTAAACAACTCTCCCTGCCAGATCAAGTGACTGTGAGGGTCATGGGGTCTCCTGCTGCCAAGTTACCACAGGTCCTTGGTGAGAGTGGGTCACTCCTCACCTGTTTAACTCATCCCTTCCCCCAGGAGTCACTGGGGGCTAGGAATGAGTCCCTGTGCATAGCAGCCCCATGCAGATTTCCTAGCTTCCTCCTCCTTCAGCTCAGCATCTCTGTCATCTGGCCATCCATTCCAATACTTTCCCTTTGACGATCTTTGCAGAGTGCACCAGTCTTCCAGATGATGTATTCTCTCAGTGACAGATGTTCCTTTTGGCTGCATCTAGTTGACCATCTTGAATCTTGTCTCATACTCTTTACCATGATTTCTGCATATCATGACAGAATTTTGATTTATTGCTATAAATTAGGTCATAATTGTTTTGGATCAGATATTAAATCATTGGACAAATAAAACCCCACCAAGTGATAGGGGAAAATATTAAAACTCGATGCAACGTCTTCCTAAAAAAACCGCTTAAATGCCAGGAATGCTCAATGTAACTTCTGTAAATATTTTCTTATCTTATTTAGTACTGGTTAATGCTACTTCCAGAAAATAATAACTTAATTTAATTGCTTCAGTAAATCGCAGCTGATCTTAAGCTTTCTTATAGCTCTGGGGAACAGCACAGTATCAGCTGAGAAACTCTGGCTTCTATAGTGCTATAGAGGACATAGGAGGAAGGAGGAAAAAAAGTGGGATGAGAGAGAATAGGGCAGAGGCCTCAGGAATGACCGACTCTCTATTACAAACATTTTAGATGACATCCACCATGGGTAACAATCACCCTTTGTAATAATTGCATTTAAAAAGTTTGAGTTTAAAATAGTTTAAATACATAGTCAAGCCCTTGAGTCATGTAATGATTCAGTGGAGAGTGTATTTTACAAATACAGAAATGTGGGTGGCATATGTGATAAACTCCTATGAAGACTTCTAAAATGAACAAAGGAGAGAGTGATTTCAGCAACATGGCAGAATAGGAGGTCCAAGCCCTTGCCCCCTCACACAAAGAATGATTAAACAAATATTAATTGTCAAAAATAGCTCTGGGAGAGCTCTGGAGTGCAATTAAGAAGTTAATGCAACCCAGTGGAATATAAAAACTGATGGTGACCACAGAGAAAAGTGTAGAAAGCATTTTTCCTGTATTATCTCATCTTGCATTCTGGCACAGGAAAGCACCAAGAAGAATCTACTTGACTGTGACTTCCCTCTACATGGGAAAAGTAAAACACGGGAAATTCAGTAGCCCTTGTCACAGAGCACACCAGCACCACAGATGCAATTCATTATAGAGGACTTGAACAGTCTTTTTAAATAAAGACCTCAGCTGATATAGCCTCCTAGAGCCCACACCAATACATCTCAATCCACACCCAGAGCTTGAGTCACTGCTAACACTGCCTTCCCAGAGCTGTGGCCACTGTCCCTTCTTAGCTCACGCACTATTTGTATTCAAAGCAGCCTTAGACTCAGGGCTACCATGTACCCCTTGGATCCATAAAAAGTACCCAACCATACCCCATCCAGTCAGCAACTCATGCCCAGCTGCAGGTAAAAGTCCTTTCAGACCAAAGCCAGTCTGTAAAGTCTTGGACGGTAATTCACTGCTTTAATAATGCAAATGCCAATGCAATTCTACAAAGAACAAAAAAGTCAGGAAAACATGACATCAACAATATAAAACATACATTTCCAATAATAAAACACATAGAAATGGAAACATAAATATTGCCTAAGAAGAATTCAAGTAATTTTTTGTATGTATGGTTTAAAAGTGGCTCATCCAGATACGAGTAAACACACATAGGCAATTCAATAAAATCAGAAAATAATATATGAACAAAAACAGAAATTAAGCCAAAAGATAGAAGTTATAAGAAAGAACCAAATAAATTCTGGAGCTGAAGAACACAATGAATAAAAGAAAAAGTGCAAAAGAGAGCTTCAACTACAGAATGATCAAGCAGAAGAAAGTATCAGCAAATTCAAAGACAGGGCATTTAATGTTACCTAGCCAGAGCAGAAAAACAGTAAAACTAATAAAAACTAATGAAGAAAGTTTACAGGCCTAACGGAACACCATCAAGGTACCTACTGACACACTGAGGAAGTTTCAGAATAAAAAGAGAAAGGGAGCAGGTCAGAAAAATTATTTAAAGGAATAATGACAGAAAATTACTCAAATCTGAGGAAATAAACAGATATTCATATTAAGAAGCCCAGTGGAAACAAACAGGTTGAACAAAAAAAAGGTCCACACTAAAATGCATTATCATTATCATTAAGTTTTAAAAATTGAAAGACAAAGAGAATTTTGAAAGCCCAAGAGAAAATTACATGTCACCTATAATATCCATAAAACTGGAATTCTATGAAAGCATGAATCTCACTGGTAAAGATAACTATATAAGCAAATACACAATAATGTAACACTAATGGTGGTGCATAAATTACTTTTATAATGCTACTATAAAAGTTGAAAGATAAGTTTGTTACTGGTAACACAATATAAAAAGAAGTCAACTCTGACTACAAGAACATACAATTTACATGTGGAAGGATGGAAGAGAGTAAAAGTGTAAAGTTTTTTCCTGTGATTGAAACTGAGTTATTATCAACCTACAATAGAGAGTCATAACTACAAGATATTTTATGCAAGCCTAGAGGTAACTACAAAGAAAAAAAAACTGAACACAAAGACACAAAATGAAGGGAAAAGAACCAAAGCAAATCAGTACAAACATTAGCAAGTAAAAAAAGAAGGCAAGTGAATAGAGGAACAAAACAACTGTGAAACAAACAAAAACAATAAACCAAATGTCAATAATAATTTCTCATCATCAATAATTATTTTAACTATAAAAAGATTAAATGTTTCAATCAAAAACCATAGAGTTTCTGAATGGTTTAAAAACATAAAATAAAAGACCTAGTTATATGCTGTCCAGAAGACACTCATTTTAGACTTAAAGACCTACATAGGGTAAGAGTAAAGGGCTAGAAAAAGATATTTCATGTAAATGGTAACCAATAGAAAGCAGAGTGGCTATCCTTATACCAGAAAAAAAATAGATGTTAACTCAAAAATTGTTTCTAGAGCAAAAAGTCATTATATAAGGACAAAAGGGTCAATTCACAGGAAGGTGTAACAATTATAAATGTATATGCACTCCACATTAAAGCACCTAGACATGTGAAGTAAATATTGACAGATTGGATGAGAGAAATTGACAAGAATACAATAATACTAGGAGACTTCTATATCCTGCTTTCAATAATGAATAGAATATACGGATAGAAATTAATAAACAGCTGACTTAGCCTCTAGATTGAATGGACTTAGCACACATATACGGAACTTTCCAGCCATCTACAGAAGAATACACATTCTTCTCAAGTGCATATGGAACATTACTCAGAATAGATCATATGTTAGTTTACAATACAAGCCTTAACAAACTTCAGATCAGAATGATTCCAAGCATTTATCCTAATCACAATGAAATGAAACTAGAAATCTATAACAGAAAAAAAACGATAAATTCACAATACATTGAAATTAAGCCATATATATATATATATATATATATGTATATATTTTACGATGGAGTCTCACTTTGCCACCCAGGCTGGTGTGCAGTGGCACCATCTTGGCTCACTGTAACCTCTGCCTCCTGGGTTCCAGCAATTATCCTGCCTCAGCCTCCCAGGTAGCTGGGACTATAGGCGTGTGCCACCATGCCCGGCTACTTTTTTGTATTTTTAGTAGAGATGGGATTTCACTATGTTGGCCAGGCTGGTCTCAAACTCCTGACTTCATGATCCACCCATTTCAGCCTCCCAAAGTGCTGTGATTACAGGCATGAGCCACCGCTCCTGGCCAGCAATACGTTCTTAAGCAATCATTGGGTCAAAGAGAAAATCCAAAGGAAATTAAAAAATAGCTCCAGCCAAATGAAAATGAAAATGTATCCTATTAAATTTATGAGATGCAGCAACAGATATATTAAAAAGTTTATAGCTAAAATTTATTACAATAAAAAAGAAAAATCTTAAATAAAAATCCAAATTTGTATCTGAAAGAAAAAGAGTAAGAAAAAAATAACACTAAGTACCAAGTTAGCAGAAGAAAGGAAATAATTAAGGAAGAAATAAGTCAAAAGTAGATTTAAAAATAATATAAAAGAATCAATTGCTTTTAGAGTTGGTTCTTGGAAAATTTTTTTAAAAATATAAATGCTTAGCTAGACCACCTAAGAAAAAAGAGAGAAGACAAATAAAAATAGATATGAAAGAGGAGATATTACAATGGATGCCTCAGAAATGAAAAGAATCACAAGAGATTACTATGAACAATTATATAAAAACAAACTGGATATTTTGAACGAAATGGATAAATGCCTATGGACATAAAACCTGATTAAAATGAATCAAGAAGAAATATAGCCTGTTCAGATAACAAGGAAATTTAGTAGGTAATTAAAAACCTCCCCAAAAAGAAAAATTTAGGTCCTGATGGCTTCACAAGTGAATTCTACCAAAAATCCACATAAAAGTTAATACCAGTCCTCTTCAACTTTTCCAGAAAGTAGAAGAAAGAACACTTCTGAACTCATTTTATGGGGCCGGTATTACCCAGTTACCAAAGTCAGACAAAGACAGCACAAACAAACAAACTGTCAAAACTATAGACCAATGTTTTTGGTGAACATAGATTCAAAATATTCAATAAAATGCAGCAAACTGAATTCAACAGCACATTAAAAGGTTGTTACACCATGACCATGTAGGATTGATTGCTGGGATGCAATGATGTTTCAACATTTGCAAATCAATCAATGTGATATACCACATTAAGAAAACTAAAAATAAAAACCACATAATAATTTCAGTAGGTGTAGGAAAAGCATTTGGCAAAATTAATTTATTCATGATTAAACCTCTGAAAACAATAGATAGACAAGGTACTTACCTCCACACAACATAGGTTACTTATGAAGAGCCTACAACTCTCATTCTAGGTATAAAATGAAAGCATTTACTCTAAGTTTCTGCACAAGGTAAGTCTGCCTGCTCTTACCACTTTCTAGTCAACGTAGTATGGAATTTGTAGCTAAAGCAATTAGATGGAAAAAAAAGAATTAAAAGTCATCCAAATCTAAGAGGAAGAAGTAAAATATTCTCCTTACGCAGATTGTATAATCATATATGTAGAAAAATCTAAAGGGTCAACAACGAAAACAAAACAACAACAAAATCCTGTTAGAGTACATTCAACCTGTTAGAAACACATTCAGTAAACTTGCAAGGTACAAAATTACATGGAAACGTCAATGATGTTTCTTTACAAAAACATCACACAATCCAACAAGCAAATTAAAACAAAAACAATTTCATTTACAATAGCAACAAAATGAATGAAATACTTAGGAATAAACTGAACCAAAGTGGTAAAAGATATGTACACTGCAAATTATAGAACATTGTTGATGAAAATTAAAGAAGTCACAGATAAACGGAAGGACAACTTGTGTTCATAGATTTAAAGAGTTGATAATATAAAATGTCCACATTACCCAAAGTCATCTGCAGATTCAATACAGTCTCTATCATATTACCAATAGCTATCTTTACAGAAAAATGTCTTAAAATTCATGTGGAAGTACAGAACACCTCAAATATCCAACGCAATCCTGAGCACGAAGAGTAAAGCTGGAAGCATCACAGTTACAGATTTCAAAAGATATTGTAAGGCTATGGTAATCACAACTGTATTGTACTGACATAAAAACAGACACATAAACTAATGGAACAGAAAACGGAGCCCAGAAATAAATCTATGCATCTACAGTCAATTGATCTTTGCAAAAGTATCATATCGAAACATGCAATGAAAAAAGGATAGTCTCTTAAGTGATGCTAGGAAATCTAGATATCCACATGTAGAAGAATAAGATGAAACATTTATCACACACCATATAGAAAAATTAACTCAAATTGAATAAAAGACAAACATAAGACAGAAGAACAGGGAAGAACATCTTAACAATGGTCTAGATAGTAATTTTGGGGATGTGACTTCAAAACCACAGGGAACAAAAGCAAAATTAGACAAGTGGTATGGCACTAAACTGCACAGCAGCTGCTCAACAAAGGAAACAATTAGAGGAAAAAGACAATCTACAGAAAGAGAGAAAATATTTGTAAATCATATATCCAGTAAGAGATTAATATCCTTATATATTAAAATATGTAAAGAATTCAATAACAACAAGAAAAAATAAAATAATATTATTTTAAAATGGGCCTAGGTCTTGAATATATATTTATCAAAACAAGTCATAGAAATGGCCAACAGGTGTATATAAACGTGCTCAATATCCTTATCAACATGAAGTAAAAATTAAAAGCACAATGTGATATTACCCCATACCTGTTAGAATGAAAATTATCAAAAGACAAAAGATAACAAGTATTACCAAGACATGAAGAAAACATGTGCTGTTTTGGTGAATTTACATTGTTATTGCTATTATGGAAAACAGTACAGAATTTTCTTCAAAAATTAAAATTTTCTTTAAAAATTAAAAGTAAAACTCCCATATGATCTAGCAATCTAACTGTATATATTTAAAGGAAATAAAATATCTCAAGAAAATGCCTGCAATTCTGTGTTCATTACCATATTATTCACAACACCCAAAGTACAATAACAACCTAGATCTTAATAGATGAAAAAACTTGATAAAGAAAATGTGGTGTATATACATACATACAATGGAATATTATTCAGCCTTAAAAAAGGAGATCATGGCATTTGTGACAACTTGGATGAACCTGAATGATATTATGCTAAATGAAATATCTCATGCACAAGAAGATAAGTTATGTATGATCTCACTCGTATGTGGAATTTAAACTAGTTAAATTCATAGAAACAGAGTAGAATAGTGGTTGTTAACAACTTTGGGGAGGAGGAAGGAAGATATTTGTCAAAACGTATAAAATTTCAGGTATGCAGTAGGAAGTTCTTGAGAGCTCAGGTACAGTAACGTCACAGTAATTAACAATATTCACTGTATGTGTTTGAAATTTGCTAGGAGTGTAGATGCTAAATGGGAGGGTAGATTTTAAATGTTCCATCAAAAAAAACAAAAAGAAAAAAGAAAATGGTAACTATATGAAATGATGGGTATGTTAAATAGCCTGATTGTGGTGATTATTTTACAATATACACACTTACCAAAACAACAAGTTGTACATCTTAAATATATACATTGTTATGTGTTAATTATATCTCAATAAACCTTAAATAATTCATCAAAACATGGAAGAAAATTTTAAGACCAAAATAGATATGTCATGTTTATTGATTGAAGAACTCTATATTGTTAAGATATAGAGTTTCAAAAAATATATTGACTCAGCATAATTCTAGTCGAATTCTAGCAGGTTTTATTGTAAAATTGATGAGTTTATTGCAGCACTCGTATAAAAATGTCAAGGACTTGGAGAAGGGAAACGAAAGAAAAACTTAGAATGAATTACACACTTAGATTTCAATACTAGCTCTAAAGTCTCACTTAGTAGATTGATACAACAATAGACAAATAGATTAATGGAATACAACGAAGACCAGACTTTGACATTCATGTAAAGGGTCACTTATTTTATAACAGTAATGCAATTCAATGGGAATGAGCTTTTCAATAAATGTATCAGTTTATATAAAAATAGACATAAATCTTGAGTTTTATCAATAACTTGAGTTGGATATTAGATGTAAGCATTAAATATAAAACCTAAAGGCTTGTAGGAGAAAATTAATAATAATATCTTCACGATCTTGGGATAACCATGAACACAAAAGACCAAACCTAAAGGAAAAGTAATTTGGAAACTAGAAATGATTTATAGGAAACACTTTGGCTTGGCATGATTGCTCATGCCTGTAATCCCAGCATTTTGGGAGGCCAAAGAGGGTGGATCTCCTGGATTCAAGAGTTCAAGACCAGCCTGGGCAACATGGCAAAACCCCATCTCTACAAAAATACAAAAATTAGCCGGGCATGGTGGTGCACATCTGTAGTCCCAGCTATGTGGAGGGCTACTGTGAGGTGATTGCTTGAGATCAGAAGGTTGAGGCTACAGTGAGCCGAGATTGCACCACTGCACTCCAGCCTGAGTGATAGAGCAAGACCCTGTCTCAAGAAAAAAATAGAAAAAGAAACTTCTATTAATTAAGAAACACTTTTAAAATAATGAAAAGACCAATCGCCAACTAGGAGTAAATTGATGGCCAGTATTCACAAATTTTAAGAGACTTATGGCTGCAAGAAAATAATCAAGGAAGACTTGTGCTACATGTTTCCAATTTGAAGAAAGTGAAAGTGAAGCCACCTCTGCCCAACTGAAGCCTATTTTATTGTCTCTATCTTCCCTCTTCAACAGAAATTCCTAAGCTGACGTAAATACTGATATTCTCTGCCTTTGTTTCCAAGACAACCAGAAGAAGAATAATGATAAATACATAAACACATCAATTAGAAAAGTTTTGTTGCTATATTTATAGAGGGAAAGAGGGAATCTGCATAGAGACAGAATTATAAAAGCTGTTGCTTCTTAACCAAGAGTGACAGATGAGAGTTTTCAGCAAAGACATTTGTGTGTTTTGGAGTTGGGGGAAGGTGGTGGTAGGTATAACTGGAAATAGCTGTTAGAAATTCAAAGTTTGCAGATATTTCACCTAGTGACGAAGGTTTTCAGTTATATTTAAAGCAAGGCCAAGGGAAATGAATCATTCTGACAATGACGTAACAGCAGCATCTTTTAAAAATAGGAGTCAATAAGAGCTAAGAAAATATACCAAATGGTAATTGGTATTCATTTGTTTTTGGAATATTGAAATCATTATTCTTCCCTTTACAAAGAAGGAAATCAGAAGTAAAAGTCTAAATATTTAACAGCAAAAGGGTTTGGGCATCAGCCACCTAGAAATGATGCCAGATCACAGTACTTTAGTGGGATCATGAGGAATCTTTAGTTAATTAGCTGACAGTGCTGTTCCCCCAAAACAGTAAGCAGCTTCATCAAAAACAAATATTTATAATGTGACTCCAATGTGCTAGCAACTTTTCTAGTAGAGGAAGAAAAAAATGCTGCCCTCATAGAGCTGAAATTGTGGTAGGAGAAAAAGACAAACAAAAGAAGAAAAATAAATATATTGAATAGTGATGCAATCAGACACAATAAACTTCCATTTAAAGAGATATCAGAATAAGTGAACCTTGAACTTGCCTTTATAATAAATAACTAGAAAACAGGACAAAATATATTAAATAATTATTTCAAACATCACAGAACGGAGACCGTGTTCTCTGAGAGTAGAATCGGAAATGAGTTGATTCCTGCAATTATTCTGACCAGGAGTCACTTTTCAGACTGCATAAAGAATGATCTCTGGAGTAAAAACAATGACAGGGGAATTGTAAGCCTAAAAATACCTAACATGGATCTGTGATAAACTACAGGTCACACCTAGCAGGAAACAACCCATAAAACATCTGCAATTTTCAAAAGAGGCTCTAGAATGATCAAATCTTGTTAGTATGGATACATTAATCTTACAGTAAAGGCTATTCTAGACTTTCATTAACAAGTTTTTAAAAGAATCGAGCTGGTTAGAATGTAATTTAACTGCCAGCCAAAATAACGTCTAACACTATCGGAAGAAAAACAATAAAATATATTTAAAAACAGTATTAACATTATTCAGCATCAAATAAAAGAAACACGAGACATGCAAAGAAGTAGGAAAATGTCCTACCACTAGTAAAAAGAAAACAAAACCCAAAGCTTCAAAAATCAGAAATAGTAGTGTTACCAAATAAGAACTATAAGGAGGTATAATTATGTGTAATAAATTAAAGGAAAACATGAATAGTATAAAGGAAGACATGAAGGATATGTAAATGAAACTTCTAGGGCTGTAAAGTGCAAGCATACTCAGGATGAACTTTAAAGTAGATTCAGCAATATCAAAGTAAAAGTCAGTAACCTTGAAGACATAGAAAGAGAAAATACATAAACTAAATCACTGATAGAATAAAATGCTAAATGATGAACAAATTCTCAATACTATGAGAAAATTTCAAGTAATCTAACATAGGTCTAATTTAATTCCCCTCAAAAAAGAATGGGTTTAAAGTATTTATACAAAAATTAGTTCTTCTCATGTCTGGGAAGTTCAAAAAATCTACCCAAAGCTATGACCAAATCACTGATAGAAAGCTATAAATTGGCCGGGGACAGTGACTCACGCCTGTAATTCCAGCACTTTGGGAGGCCTAGTCAGGCATATCACTTGAGGTCAGCAGTTCGAGACCAGCCTGGCCAATATGGTGTAACCCTATCTCTACTAAAAATACAAAATTAGCTGGGTGTGGTGGAGCGTGCCTGTATTCCCAGCTATTTGGGAAGCTGAGGCAGAGGAATCACTTGAATTTGGAAGCAGAGGTTGCAGTGAGCCAAGATCTCACATTGCACTCCAGCCTGGGCATTGCAGCAAGACTCCATCTCAAAAACAAACAAACAAACAAACAAACAAACATCAAAAGAAAATTGTAAAATAAAATTTTAAAAACAACTAAAAGAAAAAAATGAGGACAATCCATATACAGGTGTAAAAATAGAAATAGCCATTGATTTAGCAAGAAAAACAATGCATGCCAGAATAAAAATGTAGCAACATTTGTAGGAGCTGAAAATAAAACCAAATGTCAACCTGTTATTCTATGTCCAGTGAAGATATTCTTTAAAAATGAATACAAAATGAAAACATTTTTAGGTAAACAAATGCTAAAATAGGATCCATTTCCAGACTAGCATTACAAGAAGTTGCAAAGACAGTTCTACAGGTTACAGTAAAGTGATCCCAGATGGAAACTCTTATTTACAGAAAGGAATAAATAGCATTAAAATATTTAATATGTATGTACATATAAAAGAGTTTATTTCATTTTTTCCAAAAACTTATTTAATAGAAAACAATTTAAACTATAATAACAATGTTGCAGATTAATATGAAATGTAGAAATAAAATATATGAAAGGTTCTCTGTAAATTATGTATATATATTACTGTGCATATATATTATATATTTGATATGAAATATTTGTGTAATGCAATGAAATTTATTGAATTGTCTTGGCAATTTTACAAAAATCAACAGACCTCTTACATTTGTGGAAAAATGGAGTAGACATTTTTTTCCTATTTCTCCTGCTATACACAATGAAAAGCTTGGACATTTTACATATAACAATCATTGAAGGACACTAAAAGGTAGATAAAATAAGTCATGACCTAAGGACCTCACAATCTGTGCAATGGTGTGGTCAGTTTCCTGGGTTTTCTTTTTATGTTATGTATTCCAGTAATAAAACTGTTGAAGGTGGTAGCTTAAAAGCATCAGCAGGCATAGAAAAGAAAACATCTACAAAGCCTTTTCTCTAGCCATAGGACCAGGAAAGCAGCATTCTATTAAGAGGAAGGCGGAACACTTTCATATAGTAATAGCTACTATTCCTAAACACTAGCAAAAAAATGAAAAATTAAAAAAAAGAAATTTCTGCCCTACTTTCACCAATCCCAGCAAAGACTGAGTGGAGAGCCTGGACTTCCAACACGTGTCCAGCTGTAAGGACACTCATCAGTTCTCCTCAAAGTAAAGCTGTGGCACCAAAGATGGCTGAATAGAGGGTGGAGACTTTTATCTCCACTGGTTGGTAACGAAGTATCTCTCCCTCAGCCTGCTTCTCTTTTCATCCTCCCATTGTCACCTTCCATCCCCTGCCCTGCAGTGTCAGTGGAAATCATGTGAGGTGCCTGGACTTATTCATTCATTCAACGATAATGAGGCATGCCTTTCTCTCCTTACTGGAGTCATGTTAAAGGAAGACAGCTAAGACAGAAAATTGAAGGAAGAGTCAAGATCTCATAACATAATACTCAAGTTGTCCGGGTTTCAGTAGGAAGTCCCTCATGTTACTAAGAACTCAAAAATCTGAACTTGATTTTTAAAAAATCAATACTTAAAACTGAGATGGCAGAAATTATTCTCTGACAGAGATTTTAAAGCAGTCATCATAAAATTGCTTCACCCAGAAGTTACAAACATACAGGAAATATTTTTTTAACTCAGCAATAAAATAGAAAGTCTTAGCAAAGAAATAGGAGGTATAGAGTGGAATCAAATAAAAATTTTAGAACATAAAACTACAATAATGAAAATTAAATTGCAAAAGGTGGTTCTAATAGAAGAACAGAAGGGATAGAATGAATAATTTTTGAATCTTAAGAGAGAACAATAAAAATTACACAATCGACAAAACAGAGAAAATACATTTTAAAAAATAAACAGTGCCTGAGGAAACTTTAGACTATATCTCAAAAGAGCTAACATTTGTGTCTCTTGAGTTCCAGGAGACAAGAAAAAGGATAAGATTGAAAAATTACTCTAAGAGATAATGGCTAAAATCTTCCCAAATTTGGGAAACGGTGTAAGCTAACAGATCCAAGAAACTACTTTGCTTCTTGGATTAGTTTGTATCACAAACAGAATAAACTACAAACTGTACACACCAAGACACATTATAGTCAAGCTTCTGAAAACTCAGGATGAAGAAAATAACTTGGAAGCAGCAAGAAATTCGACACTGTACATGAAGGTAAAAACAAATTGAATAACAGCGGGTTTATCATGAGAAACCAGGTCAGCGAGGAGAAGAGGCCTGATATTTTTTAAGAGCTGAAAAAAGGTTCTGTCAACCCCGAATTCTATGTCTACTAAAAATATATTTCAAGACTGAAGGACAAATCAAGATATTTTGGAATAAAGAAAGACTAAGAGGACTTGTCACCGGCAGATCTGTCCTAAGGATATGGCTAAAGGAAGTTTTCTAATTGTTATAAAATATTGGCAAAGACAATACATTTTTCTTCTCTTCTTAAATTTTCTAAATTATGTTTGATGCTAGAAGCTAAAATTATAATACCTTCTGATGTGATTCTAAGTTTATGTGGAAAAATATTTAAGACAATTATATTGTAAATGGGTGGTGGTGGAGGAGCATAAATTGTGCTACAGATTCTACATTTTACTTTAACTGGCAAAATAATGACACCAATTGACTATGATAAGTTATGTACATAAAATGTTATATATATATAATAACCAGTAAGAAAGGTTTACATCACATACACTCAATGACACTATGGACAAATTAAAATGAAATTCTGAAAAAGGGCAAGTAACCCATAGAAAGGTAGAGAAAAGCAAACAGTAAAATCACTGGGGAAGGAAAAACACAAAACAAAAGTAAAATATCTGACATATTGGTAACTATATTAAACAGAAATTATCTTTTAAAATTACCTATATGCTGTTTTTAAGAAACTCAGATAAACTATAAAAATATAGATGTAGTAAATGTAAAAAAAGAAAAAAATTATATTACGCAAAGTTTCAGAAATGAAAAATATCTGGTAAATAAGACTCCAGATCTATATCTCAGTCAATAACTAGAGACAGAGAGGGACATTGTATAATTATAAAATGGTCATTCCAACAAAACATATTAATCTTCAATATCCATGCACCATGCAAAATATTTGAAGTAAGACTAGTATAAGTGAAAGGAGAAATAGGCAAATACACAATTTAAGCTAAAGACTGTATCAGTCCGTTTTCACACTGCTGATAAAGACATACCTGAGACTGGGTAATTTATAAAGGAAAAGAGGTTTAATGGACCCACAGTTCCATGTGGCTAGGGAGGCCTCACAATCATGGCAGAAGGTAAAAGACATGTCTTACATGGCGGCAGACAAGAGAGAATGAATGAATCAAGTGAAAGGGGAAAATCTTTATAAAATAATCAGATATCGTGAGACTTATTCACTTCCACAAGAACAGTATGGGGGAAACTGTCCCCATGATTCAATTATGTTCCACCGGGTGCCTCCCACAACACGTGGGAATTATGGGAACTACAATTCAAGGTGAGATTTGGGTGGGGACACAGCCAAACCATATCAAAGATTTTTACACCCTACCTCAGTAATAGATAAAATTATAACATAGAAAATCAGCAGACAACTTACCCAAGATGCTACCATTGGGTAAAGGATCTCTTTTACTCAGTGGGACCTGTCTGTATTATTTCTTACAACTGCATATGAATTTAATATCACAAAATGAAGAGTTAAAATAATAATGGTAGAATAAATCATTTGACCATGATATGGAGCCATTTCTGAACCATTGCCAAACTATCATCATTATTATAGCTTTATATTGATTCTTAAAGTTGACATAGTGTGCCATTCTAATTTTTTATTCAAAACATTTGCATTGGTTATTAAAGGTTGTTTGTATTACTGTATAAATATTACCATATCCTTGTCAAATTCTACAAAACACGTGTTAGAATTATGATAGAAATTTTAGTGAATCTGTAAGTTATTTCAGTGAGAATTACAATTTTAACGTAAGTGACTCTTTTAACACTCTTATACAATGCATCTGTCCACTTACTTAAGTTATCTTTAATTTTTCTCCACGGTGTTTTCTGCTTTTTCCTCTTGAGGTCTTGGAGTTCTAGCTGCTAAGGCTGCTTTTCTCCATTACTGAGGAAAGCCTTTGTGATGAAGCCAAAAGTGTTGAAAAGTAATGAACCCCATTTAGCAAGATTTCCACATTTTGATTTCCCTCTAACAATCTGCCAATAGGCAGGTTTTTCATTTGCGCCACTGTTTTCAGATAGTTGCTTTTTCTTTTGAATTTTGTGTAGTTATGCTTGTCATTAGCTGGAGGATTGGTCTCTAAGGTGTTTGCAATGCAATAGTAGAACTGGAATGATATGAGTATATTTTGATAATAAAGCTAAAAGGGTTATTTTACATATCGATATTGATTGTTAAAGAAGAAGATTCAAGAATGAGTTCATAGGTTTTGGTTGACAACTGGACTAAGGCTATTGTTGTTAGCAAAAAAGTGAAATAATTCAGAAACAATAGTTTTGGGGTGGGAGATATTAAGAAGTTCAGTTTGAAAAAGTCAAGATTGAGATACCTATTAGATAGTCAATTAGGAATTTTAAGTTGGAAATTTATTAAAGAAGTCTTTATTTCAGTGGAGATATCAAAGTTGGAGATAATTTTATGAATCATAAGCATATAGGTAATATATAAAGTCAAAAAAACTGGATGAGGTCACTAAAGGGAGTGTGTGTGGACAGGAAGGGAAGAGATCAAAAGAGACTCAAAGGCTGAGTTCTGAGTCACATAAAAAGCAATATAATAAAATGTGAAAATGTGCTTACAGCAATATGTAAAATGAAAATATGAGAAGGAATAAATAATCCAGCCTGGAATGTCAAGGAATTTCCTTACACTTACCTCTAAAAATGAATCTGTATGTATGAACAAAAGTTATCCAAGCAAATGAAAGGATAAAGAACATTCTGGGATGATAGGCTTCAATGAGCAAGGCACAGAGCTTATGGAGAGCATGACTGTTTAATCATGCTACGGGAAGACTAGGGCAAGAAATGGTAAATGCAGTGTTGAAGAAGACCAGATAGAACAACCGTTGCACTTTTTTGCCACGTTAAGAAGACGTTTTTATCAGGAGAGTTTGGGGTTTTAAAACTGTTTCTGAAAGTAGAACTTATTGTATGTAAGTAATCTGAGGTGGAATTTAAATTTATAAAACAAATAAAAGAAGAATTTCCTTGTTGAAATTAGTGCATTCAGGGGAGGAGGAAGGTACAATTTGCTTTATGTTCACTCCGGGTGGCAGCCCCTGACACACCTTCAGAAAATCTCAAGAATTCATGCTTCAGAATTCAGTGAAACAGTCAGGTGCTTTCAATGATATTCATCAAGTTTTCATTTTAAATCTACTACTTATGTGGGATGAATTTGAATGAAATATTATTGGCAAATTCACTGAAAAGAAGAGGAGATCGGTTAATAGTGCAGGCAAGAAGTGACAAAGGCGAAGAAAATGCAGTGTCTTATAGAAAATTACTTGGAATATTCTTGAGGGTAGTGAGAGCCAGAATCCTCTAAGATGAGATGATATTTCTTCTTTCATCTAAACTAGATCTTGTACATAATGATATAAACTGTACCACTCAAATAGTTTTTTTAAAAAACCCTTAATTCATAAAACAGGTGCAAGAGTGTCACAGTATCCTCACACAGTGGTAGCCCCCATGTTACCTTCAGGGACTCTGTAGAATCTAACATAACATTTATCTGTAAAGTTTACTGATAGATAGTGTACAGTTTTATGAGTTTAAAAATCAGTAATTAATGCACTCACCATCACAGCAACAATATAAGACAATCCTATTATTGCCCAAATGGTCTCCTTGGCACTTTGTGGTTAACCTTTCGCCCAGTCCTAGCCTTTTGCAACCATTAATATAACATTAATCCTTCAAATGTTGTCTTTTCCAGAATGTTATATAAATGGAATCATACAATATATAGCATTTTTAAACTGAATCTTTTTGTTTTAGTATAGCTCATTTGTGATTCATCTATGTAGTTGCACCCAAAAATAGTCTCTTCCTTTTTGATTGATTGACAGCATTCCATTGTGTAGATATACCAGCTTGTTTACCTTCTCCCTCGCTGTGAGATATTTGGATTGTCGTCAGATTTTGGCGATTACAAATGAAACTACTATAAACATTCAGGTACCAGGTTTTGTGTGTACCTAAGTTTTTATTTCACATGAGTAAATACCTAGGGCAGAGTGAGATTATTGAGTAGAATGTTATCTATTCAATTTGGCCAGAAAAAAAAAATACCAAACTGTTTCTCTATTCTCAAGGGTTTTCACACGACAACAGATGAGTTGTGGTGAGAGGCTGTGTAGATCAAAAACCCCCTAAGATATTTATTATTTTACCTTTTATACAGAAGTTTGCCAATCTCTGGCCCAAAATATGGTCCATCATGGTGAATTTTTTATGTGCAGTGGAAAAAAATGAGTATTTTGCTGTTATTTGATGGAGTGTTCTGTAAATGTGAAATAATTCACATTCCTTGTGATATTCAGTCTCCTACATTCTTACCAATTTTCTGTTTCTTTGTTTGTTCTATTGATTACTGAATATGTAGTGCTGAAGAGTGTTGATGTTTCCAGCTATAATTGTGAATCTGCCTCTTCTTCCTTTCAGTTTTATCTACTTTTGCTTTGTGCATTTTTAAGTTCTATTGCTAGGTACATACCCCTTTGGAGTTGTCATGTCATCTTGCTGAATTAAACATTTTATTGCTACACAATGGCCTTCTTTAATTTCTGATAATATATTTTGTTTTCACTTCAACTTTTCTGTTATTAAGAGTCACACCAGCTTTCTGTTGATTAGTGTTTACATTTGTTTTAATCTTATCCGTGCCATCACATTCAATCTAAGTTTCTTGTAACTAGCAAATAGATAAATATTACCTTTTAAAATTAATAGACTATTTTTAGAGAAGTTTAAGATTTAAAGAAAAAATAAGCAGAAATTTTTACTGAAATGGATTCATTTTAGGTCCTGTTGCTCACAGCAAGAAAAGTCAATTACTGAAACAATGAGTATTACCAGGAAAGAAGGCTTTATTCCTGGGTGCTGTAGCCGAGGAGAACAGGAGATCAGTCTCAAATCTGTTTCCCTGACCGACTAAAATTGGGGATTTATATTGCAGAGAAGGGATGTAGCTACATGCAGTAAAACAGGTATTAGCGAGGAGTACAGAACCATCAAGGCAAGCAAGGGATCTGGCATCCCACCATTGTCCAGATGCAGTGATCTTATAAGTTTCAGCTCCTTGATAATGTCTGGGATGCTGACTGATTGTCAGTTCCCTGAAAGAAACTCAGATAAGACAAATGTAAGTTTCTCTAGTTTTAAGACTGAAAGAATCAACTTCTATGTTTATCCAAAAAAAAAAAAAAAAAACTGTCTATGGGACAATTGGGTCGGTTTCAAAATGACAGAGTACCCATATTATCCCTCTCTCCCCTCTTCTTCCCCACAATCCCCTTTATTATTAACATTTTTTCATTAATGTGACACATTTGTTGCAATTGACAGAATATTATTAATTAAAGTTCATAGTTTACATTGGGATTTAGTCTTTCTGTTATACAATTTCTGGGTTTTTACAAAGGTATAATTGCATGTAGCTATCATTGCAGCATCAAATAGAACAATTTCTCTGCCTTAAAAAATTCCTTGAGTTCCACCTGTTTCATCCTCTTTTTTACTGAACCATTGGCAACGAATGACCTATTTACTGTCTCTATAATTTGGCCTTTTCTAGAATGTCATGTAGTTGGAATTATGTAGTATGCAATCTTTTCATACTGGCTTATTTTACTCAGTAACATGCATGTAAGCTTCCTCTATGTCTTCTTGTGACTTGGTAGCTCATTTCCTTTTATTGCTGAATAATTTTTCGGTGTATGGATGTGCTACAGTTTGTTTATACATTTATCTTTTGAAGGGTATCTTGTTTTCTTGAAGTTTTATAATGGTATCTTGTTTGTTCTTACTTTTTAAATGTTTTGTCAATCATGAATAAAGCTGCTCTAAATATTTGTGTGCAAGGTTTTTTTGTTGTTTGTTTGTCTTTGGTTGTGGGTTTTTTTTGTGTGTTTGTGTGAGCTAACCAAGGAATATGATCACTGGATCATGTGGTAAAAGTATATATAGCTTTCTAAGAAACTGCCAAACTGTCTTCTACAGTGGCTGTACTACTTTGCATCCCCATCAGTGATGAATGAATATATTGGTTGCTCCACACTCTTGCTAGCATTTGTTATTTTCAGTGTTTTGGGTTTTAGCCATTCTTAAAGGTATGTAGTGGTATCTGGTTATTGGTCCTTAATTTTTAATCCAGTATGACAACCTCTGTCTTGAAACAATAATTTAAACAAGTGATAATGTAAGTATTGTTAGTGTTTGATATAAATCTATTATTTCACTGGCTGTTTGCAAGATAGTCTATCTGTTCTTCGTTTATTTTTTCCACTTTTGGTGCTTTTAAAAAAATTAAATGGCATTTGCAAACTACCTATCTGAGAAGAATTAATAACCTGAGTATATAAAGACCTCAAATAACTCTATAGGAAAAAAATCTAATAATCTGATTAAAAATCAGCATAGATATTTCTCAAAAGAAGACATACAAATGGCAAACAGGCATATGAAAGGTGCTGAACATCACTGATCATCAGAGAAATGCAAATAGAAACTACAATGAGCTATCACCTGACCCCAGCTAAAAAGGCTTAATGCAAATAAAAACTACAATGAGCTATCATCTGACCCCAGTTAATATGGCTTTTATGCAAAAAACAGGCGATAATAAATGCTGATGAGGATGTAGAGAAAAGGGAAGGCTTGTACACTGTTGGTGGGAATGTAAACTAGTGCAACCACTATGGAAAACAGTTTGGAGATTCCTCGAAAAACTAAAAACAGAGCTACCATATGATCCAGCAATCCTACTGGTAAGTAAACATACAAAAGAAATTAAATCAGTACAAGGGAGAGTTATCTGCTATCTCATGTTTGTTGCAGCACTGTTCACAATAACCAAAATTTGGAAGCAACCTACATGCCCATCAACAGAGGAATGGATAAAGAAAATATGGTACATATACACAATGGAGTACTATTCAGCCATAAAAAGACTGAGATTCTGTCCTTTGCAACAAGATGAATGGAACTGAAGATAATTATTTAAAGTGAAATAAGCCAAGCACATAAAGACAAACATCACATGTTCTCACTTATTTGTGGGATCTAAACATCTAAACAATTGAACTCATGGACATAGTGAGTAGAAGGATGGTTACCAGAGGCTGGGAAGGGTAGTGCCAGGCTAGGGGAGAGGTGGAGATGATAAATGGGTACAAAACAAAATAGTTATAAAGAATAAGATACACTATTTGATCATACAACAAGGTAACTATAGCCAATAGTAACTTGTATTTGTTTTGTTTTGTTTTTTTTGAGACAGAGTCTCGCTCTGTCGCCCAGGCTGGAGTGCAGTGGCGCGATCTCGGCTCACTGCAAGCTCCACCTGCCAGGTTCACTCCATTCTCCTGCCTCAGCCTCCCGAGTAGCTGGGACTACAGGCGCCCACCACCACGCCCAGCCAACGTTTTGTATTTTTGGTAGAGACGGGGTTTCACCGTGTTAGCCAGGATGGTCTCGATTTCCTGGCCTCATGATCCGCCTGCCTCAGCCTCCCAAAGAATTGTGTGTTTTAAAATAACTATTAAGAATGTAACTGGATTGTTTGTAACACAAAGGATAAATGCTTGAGCGGATGGATACCCCATTTTCCCTGATGTCATTATTTCATATTACATGCCTGTATCAAAAAATCTCATGTACCCCACAAATACATACACCTACTATGTGTCCACAAAAAATTGTAAAATAAATAGATAAAAATTTTAAAATGAATTGCCTATATTTTACAATTTCTTATTAATTCTACTATTGGCTTATATTTATATCCTTTTAGTTTTTCAGCATTTTCCCTAGACTAAGCCTCTACCAACCACTAAATTGTACTCTGTACATATAATTTTGTCATTTCAAGAATGTTATATAAAAATTCTTGAAGTCATATGAGTACATATTAGTACATATTAATACATACAGTGTACTACTTAAGCCATAGTACATTTTAGTATGTATACTGCACTATGGCGCGTACACTCATGTCATTTCAGTACAAGTTTACTATATGTATTAGTATGTATCATAAATAGTACATAGTTAATTACTGAATCTACCTTCAAATATTTTAGTTTTTCATGTGTCATATATAGATCTTAAAATAGTATAATTCCAATTCCTCTTCCCATTCTTTGTTGTATTTAGTCATATGCTTTACGCTTCCATAGTCTATAAACCTATATCATCATTGCTTTTTGATTTAAAAAGTCATAATAATTTTATATTTACAATTACGTATGACATTTTCAGCTTTATTTCTTTCTAGATTTCTTTTTCTGTGGTTCCTTTAATATCTCTTGTGTGCAGTGCTGTTGGCATAGACTCCTTCAAGGCTTTGACTGTCTGAAAAGTCTTTATTTATTCCTCTTTTTTAAAAAGACAGTTTCCCTGAGCCTAGAAATCTCTGTTTGTAGATATTATTCTATTATTGTCTGGCTTTCAGAGTTTGAAATGAAAAATCTGCTTTCATTTTTTATTCTACATTTCAGTATATAAAATATGTTTTTTTTTTCTGGATACCTTCAAGATTTTCTCTTTGTCTTTCATCTTCAGCAATTTCAATACGTCTAGAATTTGTTTGTTTTGTTTTGTTTTTAATTATTCTGGAATTATATTAGCTTCTTGAATCTGTAATTTATGGTCTTATTATTTTGGAAACTTCTCAGGTATTATTTCTTCAAATAATTCATCTTCCTCTTGCTCTCTTTCTTCCTACTGTGGAAGTCCAATTATTCATACGT
Source organism: Homo sapiens (assembly GCF_000001405.40). NCBI lineage: Eukaryota > Metazoa > Chordata > Mammalia > Primates > Hominidae > Homo > Homo sapiens. The sequence continues at coordinate 107,754,290 of NC_000010.11, forward strand.
TAGATTATTTGATATTATTTTATGCTTTTTCCATTCTCTCTTCCTTTTTAACTCTTTAATCTTCTTCTGTTTCTATTTGTATAGAGTCTATTGATCTTTCTTAAATTCACACATACACTATATATATATTGCATTTTATTAGAATTTTATGGATTACAAATTTGGCTTTTTAGTAACTTGTAAATTATTCTATCATATTAAAATATTGACTTTTCTATTTTAAACCAAAATAATTATTATTGGATAATTTTACTTTACATAATAATTAATGGGTGACATATTCCTGAGAGTTATCTATGAATTACATTTTTTGTATATGTAAGTGTGTATATATATGAAATTTCATAAACGAAGAATATTATTTCCTTTCAGTAATAATCTCTTCTATTAATACTGTTCATAAATTACTTTCTTAACATATTAGTTAAAAAAATTAATCCCACCATGTGACATTTTGTTGAGGGGACAATTACTCTTGTGCCATAGTCTCATTTTCAGTGGTTAAAGGATTGTATTTAGGGTTCACTTAAAATGCCTTAATAGAAAGTCACCTCTAATCATATTTCAGCAACAGTCTCTTTACTGCAACTTATTACTATATTTTATGTTCTAGTAACTGCAGAGTTAAATGATTTATGAATATGAAGTAAGAATTCCACTCTAACCTACAATCATTGGAACACATCTTGAGTGACATGCTGTGTTCTCTCAGTTGAAAGCCATCGACAGTTTAAATGTAATGCAATCCAGAATCTGTATGCAGGGTGACAGGAGGCTGGAGGCCATCCCCTCCCAAGGAATAATTAATAGAGCAGAAAGTGTCAAAGTCAAGATTCAGCGTAGATGGGGTAGCACTTTCTAAATATCTGCAATATATTTTCTGAGGAGAAAGGAGTAGATACTGTAATGTTTAAGAGAACTGAACTAGTATCGTAGATATGAATTCCAAAAGTACTATTTATCTCTATTAAAAATACTTTTTAAAAAGATTAGAGCTGCTCAAACATTGAAGAGCCTGCCTTCTTAAAGTAGTGAATTTCCAGTCACTAGTAGAGTAAAAATAGAGTCTGGATAACTACCTAACCAGAATTTCAGCTCCTATATAATTTCTAAGCTTCCTAACTACCTCCTACCTCTAAGAATCTTGGTAGAGAAAGAATGCTAAATAATAATTGAATATAAAACAATTTAACTAATAAGTCCAAGAAACTATGTTACTATTTAGCAGAATCCAGAGGATGTGGGCATTTCTTAAATGAAGTATGAGTTAAATTGGACCTTGAATATTTGGCAACATTTGAATAGGGTAACAAGGAATGGCAGAACAGGGTATTTTGTGTACAGAATGTCTCAGTTAGGGCTGTTTGTTGCACGAAGCAGAAAGAAACTCTGGATAACATAAGCAAAAGGAGAACTGATTGGATGAATATGGAGTAATTTAGTAAATCAAGTGAGAAAAGGTCAGAGATAAGGCAGCTGTGAAGACATTGGTGGCAAACTCAAAGGCGATCTCTTTGGGCCATTACATTTAATGTGATCATTTTTGCCATTATTTCCCTGTGGTACCCATCTTGAAATTTAAATTCCCCCCAAAATTAAGAAATTAAGAAACATGTTTCCAAATAATGCATGGGTCAAAGAGGATATCACAATGAAAATCAGAAAATATTCTGAGGAAAATAAAAATTAAAAATATGACATCAAAATCCACTAGATACAGCTAATAATGTGTCTAAAGGGCCATATTTAGAACTATACAAAGTTGAACGTTAATTATCTAACATTTTATCTCATACAGCTATTAAAAGAACATCAAATTAAACTCAAGGAAATAAAGGGTTTGAAAATAAACAACACATATTATTGAAAAGAAGGCAAATATAAAATAAATTTAATTACAAAGCCAAAATTTGTTCTTCAAAATTAGTATTACATTTTAACAAGAATGATCAGAAAAAAGAGGCAAAAAACACAAATTATCAATATAATATTAGTAATAGAAAAGAGAATATACCTCAAATATGTAAACATCAAAATATACAATGGAGATATTATTAACAATTTTATTCTGATAATTTTGAAAGTTGAGGTAAAGTACATAAAATAATTTAAAATAATCTAATAAGAGTAAAGGAGAAAAAATATGTAACCACTTGTATAGTTGCAGAAAAAACATTGATTAAAAATTAATACTCTTCATGATGAAAATTCTCAGTAAATTAGAGATTAAAAAGAGCTTTTCACTTTCACAGTGAGGTTAAGGACAAGAGAAGCATATATACTTTCATCAGTTCAACTTACCATTTTCTTAGATATTCCAGTCACCATGACATGACAAAGGGAAAAATGACATGAATATTGTATTTTGAAAACACTCATAAATGTACACATAGAAAAATTAAAATATATATTTGGCATAAGCCATCATAAGATAAAAATTGAGTTTTATGTAATCACAATAAACAAATAGAAAATTAAACATAAATACCATTTAAGATATTACCATGTAACTATTAATAAATCTAGCGAAGTATGTTCAAGACCTTTCCACTAAAAACTATAAAATAGTGAAAATAATAAAGATATAAATTTAGAAGGGTTGTGCCATGATAATAATTTGTAAGACTCAATGTTAATATATGCAGTCCTCTTAATTGGCCAATAGATTTTTTTAAAGTTCCAGTCAACATATCAGTATTTTATTTTTGTGGGAATTGAGGTGCTAATTCTAAATTTTGTATGAAAATATAAAGGACCTAGAATAGCCAAGGTATTCATAAAGAAGAAATCAATGCTGGGGAATTTAAGCTATTATATAATCAGATAATATTATAAAATTAAAATAATTAAATTATTATAAACGTTGGAGTAAGGATAGAAAAATGGTCCAATTGAATATAATTTTTAAAAGTACAGAGATGGAACCAATACACAAAATCACTTGATTTGTGACAAAAGTACTACTATAATTCTTTGGGGAAATATAGTCTTTTAATAAATGATGCTGAGTTACACAGTACACATAAAATTTAATTTTATATTGACCACAGACATAAATGTGAAAGATAGAACAATAAATCTTCAAGAACCAAACATATAGAATTATTATCTTCATGACCTTGATGTAGGTAAGGATTTCTTATGCAGACTACAAAATCCCTAAACATAAAATGAGGAAAAAAGACAAAATAAACTTCAATAAAACTGAGAACTTCTGTTCAACAAAAGACAACATTAAAATAATGAAAATGCAACCATGATTTGGGAAAAGATAGTTGCAATGAATGGTTCAGCAATTGACTCATATCTAGAACATATAAAGAATTCCTATAAGTCATTAGAAAATGATTGATAATGTAATAAAAACTGAAGAAAATACGTGAATAGGTACATCACAAAAGTTGATATCCAAATGGCTGAAAAATTGTAGAAAATTTAACAACATAAGTAGTCATTAGGGAAATATAAAATAAAATTCCACTGACATATCACTACATTCCCACTCATAAGGCAATTAAAAAGACTAATGATACCAAATATTGATGATGAAATAGAACAGTTTTAATTCTCACTTAATGGTGGTAGACATACAATTTAACTTATGTGAAAAACCATTTGACACTGTCTCTTAACATAGTATTTTATACATCATATTCTATGATCCAACAATCACACTAATGGGAAAATACTAATGGAAATAGTTGCATTTGCTCATTCAAAGATATATACCAGCATGTTCACAGCAGTTTTATTCATAATTAGCAAATCCAAATGCTCATCTGCAAGAGAAAACATAAAATGTGGTATATTCCTACAATCAGATACTGCACAGCAGAGCAAAAAGACTAGTGCTATATTACATGAATGAACTTCAGACATATTGTTGTCAAAAATGATATAAGTATATATCTTATGAACACATTTATATAAACTTCAAAAATATACAAAAATATCCTATGATAATAGAAATCAGTATATTGGTTATCTTATGGGTAGTGACTGGAAGAGAGCATAAAGCAGTTTCTGTGGTATAGAAAGTCCTCTTTATCTTTAGATAGGGGATAGTTATAGGAGTTTATATAGGTGTAAAAAATTATAAATGTGGACCCAATACTTGTGTACCACATGTAAATAACACATCATTACATGCTGTTTTCTGTGCTTTGGAAATGTGTCTAATGTTACTAGTCTCTTTATAATATTTTTTAAATTTGACATACAAAAAGCTGTATAATTTAGGTATACAACATGATGAGTTTAGTGATAAATATACACCTGTGAAACCATCACCACAATCTATGCCACAAACCTATGCATCACCTCCAGAAGTTTTCTCCCATTCTCTTATAAATATTATTTGTGATAAGAACACGTGACATAAGATCTACTCCCTTAGCAAATGTTTAAGCATGAAATGCAGTATTGTTGACTTTTTTTTTTTTTAATTACATGGAGTGGAGATTGATTGCCCTAGGAGGTTTGTCTCATGGTCACTGCTTGGCTTGAGCAGGACAAATCGTCTTGAGTAAGAGTCTAAGAAAACCACAATAAGGAAAGAAATTTCTCAAGGAGACTTAAAGACAAGAAAATAGTAGGGATATTACACAGACAAAACAATAGATGGCCATCAAATATGGTAATGGCAGATATTAACAATAACTGACATTTATATCTTAAGTAACCATTAAAAATATTCTATCTCATTTAAAACTAACCACAATCCTATGAGCAAGTACTATTTTTTTTTTTCGTATTTTCCATTTAAGGTCATTAAAACACAGAGAGATTAAGTTTTGTTTAAGGCTACCTAGCCGCTTAGAGGCAGATTTGGGACTTGAATACAGATGACTTGTTTGGAGGTCTACATTTTGAACCTCTATGCTATGCTGGATCACAATTATACATTACATGTTCAAGAGTGTTGAAGAAGACAAGACAGAAAGCAGCAAAAGAAAGCACGGCTGGGGGTAAGGAACACCTGGAGGCATTAAACTATTTCATTGTTCCTTTCATTCCGCTTACTGAAGGGTTTCCAACTCTCGATTTTATAAGTCAGAAGCAAATTTATGTCTGCAAATTCACTAAATCCTGAGAGATTATAAACATACACGCACATACATTATGGCTTCATTTTTAGTGATTTATCACATATAATTGGAAGTTTAGAGCCTGTATTCTTTCTCAAGTTGAGAATCTCCTTTTTTAAAATTCAGAGGCTTCAATGTTTGTGTTACCAAAACACTAATTTTGCTATTCGTGCAAAGATTAGAATTTCTACATGAAAGTGGATAAGATACCTGAGAAAAAATCTCATTTCAGCTCCCTCATCATAATATTGAATAGGGTCACATAATTGAAAAGTTATGTAAGCATAGCAAGTGTTATAAGGTGATGGCACAATGAGATACCAAAGTTATCATCCTGCTTGCAAATCCAGGCCATTTCACAGTGGAAAAGATGGCAGTTTTGAAAGGGACAAAGAAGAAGTCTTGTGAAATAAATAACTCTGCAATGGTAAGTATACCAATGCCCTCAGGAAACTGTATCAACAGTCGTAGTTCAATCTAACCAAAACAAATAGTATAGAACATGGAAAGGTAATGTCAAATAAGAGGCTTTATCGAATTGGCTTTCGAAACAGATAAATGTGCAGATGCAAAGCCGATGAAAAGAAATGTTTGTTACTACTCATTGAATGGATCAATAGCAAGCTGCTAAGTCCAATTTTCTTATGGCAAGTCCTCACTATAATTCATGACCTGTGTTTTTTTTTAAAAAAATACCATCAGAAGTCTAGATTTGAGTGAAGTTAAGAGTTATACTTACATATTATTAATACATTTGCTGCTGAACACTAACTCAAAAGAAATTGTCATTTTCCTCAAAGGCTCCTAACTTTTATGGCCTTTCAATATTCTTACATTTGTTTCATCCGGTTCTACTTAACATAGTCTGACTTTTTAAAAGTTGGCTAAAACCATAGCAGAAACTTACGACCTTTAGTAATCTTTACAACTTAGATAAACTTTCATGTATTCCTTTGTCGTCAAAGAGCTTCTCAAACTCATTTCCATACTGATGTCAATAATCTCATTCATACCCACCCTTCTCTTGGGTAACTTGGAGAACAAGGTCAATAAATATCCACATAAAAAAATCTCTCATAGGGAACTACAATGGGTGATAGAAATGAGATGAAAATAGAACAAATAATCATATGATTTAAAAATATATCATTTCAATGGAATATTGAAAAACATATCTGGTACAATAAAGAATGGGAATTTTTGCAAAAGTAATTTGATTCATTTTCTATTCTCAGTTATTATTTTATCATGTGATGTCTTTCCCAGGGTAGGAAGCAATAACAGAACTTACTAAGGGAAGAGAATCTTTTATGTATAGGTAAGATATTCCCCTGGTGTGGAAGAAGCTAGAATAATCAACTGCTTTGATACATTTTAACCAGCTCTTCTGAGATTGTTTTCCTTTCCTAACCTTCAAAGAAAGTTCCCATGATGTTACAGACCTACCCAGCAGAAGCCTTGGGAAGGAAGACACTGCTTAACCCTCAATCTTGGGAATCCTGGAGAAGAAGAGAACACACATCCTGTAATAAAATGAATTTGTATAAAACAGACATCAATAAAAAAGAAAATGCTATGGAACAAAGAAAGCACTAGAGTTATAAAACAAAGTAAGCTGAGCCCACATAAAGAAGAAAGAGCAACATATGGAGTAAACAGACAATAAAACGACTTCCCAAAGTTTCATAAAAACTCCAAGCTAGTTAGAAGATATTAACATGAGAGAAAAAAGAAGAGTGGTCCCTCTTTAATATCCACTATCATATGAGTGGCCTTTTAGGAATTAAGAAGGAAGGAGACAAAGTAAGATAGAAAGAAGGAGAGAGGGTAGGAGAAAGAGAAGAAAAGAGTGGGAGGTGGGGGTTGGGAGAAAATAATCTTGGGTATTATAAAAATGAAAGAAAAACCCTCTTTCTGGGACTGCAGAAATGTTCTGACACATATATTTAGCACACATTCAGTAAATCCATAATTGGAATCTTCTATATGCCAGACACTGGCTAAATTATGAAATCCAAAAATAAAATATTGCTATAATTGGTCTCAAAAGACTATGATCCAGATTCTGAGTCCTTGCATTAGAAGAAAGAAAAAAGGCCCAGCTCTAGACAGATGTAGTCTTAAAAAAAGAACTTGGCAATTGCTTGTTAATGGGTATTTGTCTAAAAGCTGAACCAGATAATCCTCAAGATATCTTCTTTAAGAGGAAGAAGGATTGAAAGAGAGTTGAACATTGAAAGTTTTACCAATTGAATCTTTTAGAGAGTTTACAAATTCTCAATTTAGTATTATACATATGGTGTTTGAAGACGGTCATATTTAAATAATTCAGTCTCAACATCTCTGCCTTATTCTTCCTGTTTTTATTCACATTTCCAGCCTAAATTGGTGCTTTAATTCAGAAGCAGGCAAATTTGAGTAACTATAATATGATATATTTATTTTAAATTGCATGCAGAATAACATATATTGGTGTAGGAGGGTAGGGGATAAACACACTCTAGAATGAGAGAGACTTAAGATTTTATCTAAATTCTGTTCTTCACTCAATATGGAGCCTTTAGTAAGTTGTTTAATTCTGTACATATTCTGCATATTCCAATTCTTTATCTATAATACTGGAATAATAAATCTATGATGTCCACAGTACCAGATATATTAATGCCCAAACCGTGTTACCCTCGTATCTGTGAAGAATAGACCCTCAGAAATATGGTTAATAAAATCAATATGTCAAAGGGATACCTGCTCTCCCATGTTTATTGCAGCAATATTTACAATAGCCAAGATATAGAATCAACCCAAGTGTCTAACAACAGATGAATAAATAAAGAAAATGTGGTGCATATATACAATGGAATACTATTCAGTCACATAAAGAATGAAACCCTGCCATTTGCAACAGCATAGATGAACTTGGAGGACATCATGTAGGTGAAATAAGCCAGATACCAAACGAAAAATACCATATAATCTCATTCATATGTGAATTTTTTTTAAGAGTTGGTTTCATAGAAGCAATGACTATAACAGTGGTTATCAGAGACCGGGGATAGGTAGTGGAAGGTAAGAAGGGGGAGAGGTTGGCCAAAATGTACAAAGTGACAATTAAAAGGAATAAGCTCCAGTATTTTATTGCATAGTAGGGTGACGATGGTTAATAGTAATGTATTGTATATTACAAAGTAGATAGAAGAGAGGCTTTTGAATGTTCTCACCACAAAGAAATGAGAATGTATAATGTATCAATAATAATACAATAATAATAAATTATTTTAACATCTTTTGCAAGGCACATCTATTGATGACAGAGTCTCCCATTTTGTCTACAAATGTTTCTCCCTTACTTCTAAAAGATATATTCACTTTAAGAAATCTTATAGAATTCTAAGTTTCTAAGTTGTTTTAATTACCTTTTTATTTTAGTTTGTTGTTGTTTTAACTTTCAAAACTTTAAATATTTCACTGTACTCTCTTGTTGCTTGTATAAGTTCTGAAGAGAAGGCCAATGGAATACTTATCTTTGTTCCTATATAAAAAGGTGGCACCTGCCATATCTCATTCTGTTTTCTTTCAAGATTTCCTCGTTATAATTTTTCTGCAAGTTGAATATGATGTACCTAGGGATGTATTCATTGTTATTTATCCCACTTTGTGTTCTATGAGCTTCCTGGATCTGTGGTTTGATGTCTGTCATTGATTTTAGAAAAAATTCAGTTATTATTTCAACGAATTCTTCTGTTCCTTCTTTCTTCTTCTTTTGGAATTCTCATTGCAGAAATATTACACCTGTTGTGATTTTTAGAGTTCTTGGATATTCTGTTCTATCTCTCTTATTCTCATTTGTCTTTGCATTTCAGTTTTCAAAGTTGCTATTACCCTATCTGTAAGCTCACTAGTTCTTTCCTCAGTCAAGGTCATGTATAGTCTATTAATGTGTCCATCAAAGGTGTTTTCAATGTCTGGTTACAATGCTCTTTAAATCTTTAGAATTTCCTTTTGATTCTTTCTTAGAGTTCCTACCTCTCTGCTTATATCAATCATCTGTTCTTATGTTTGTCTACTTTATTCATTAGAGTCCTTAGCATATTAATCATAGTTATTTTAAATTCCCTATTTATATTTTCCAAATCTCTGCCATAATGGAGCCCAGTTCTGATGCTTGTTTTGCCTATTCAAACTATGTTTTTGATATCTTAGTATGCCATGTGATTATTGGTTGAAAGCTGAACATGACGTACTAGGTTAAAGGAACTGAGATAAACAAGTCTTCAATGTGAGGTCTTTTTTTATCTTTTTTATTTTATTTTAAATTAAGTTCTAGGATACCTATCTATACAGGATGTGCAGTTTTGTTACATAGGTAAACATGTGCCATGGTGGTTTTCTGCACCTATCAACCCATCACCTATTAAGCCTCTCATGCATTAGCTATTTCTCCTAATGCTCTCCCTCCCTATACCCCACCTACAGGCCCCAGTGTGTGTTGTTCCTCTCCCTGCATCCATGTGTTCTCATTGTTCAGCTCTCATAAGTGAGGACATGTAGAGGTCTTATGTTTATCTGGCTAAGAGTTTACTGTGTTTACTGTTAGCTATAGCTATAGGTTTCAAAGACAAAATTTTTCTCTAGTGTTCTTGTTTTTGTCTCCCTTGGTTTTTGTTTGTTTGGTTGGTTGGTTTTGTTTTGTGTTTCTAGTGACTTCTTAAATACTCTCTGGGTTGTGCAGTTCTTTGAGTTGTAATCCTTTCGTATAAAAGCCATACTGATACAGTGGTAAGATGTGGGAGGAAGAGAAGCATTGTATAGTTACATGATTATGTCTCAATCATTTACTGAACCCTTGCCTCTGGGTTGTAACCTTCACAACTGTTTTGCTGTTCTCTTCCCACTGCCCCTACCTTCAAAGTAAGACATTAAGACTGGTGGGGACTGGAGTTAACGATTTCCAGTCGCCCATGTGGGAGGTTGGAGGGAGCTAGAGTTGGGTATTTTCTACATCTATGTAGAAGATCGGAGAAGTTCAAGTTGGGCACTTCTTTTCCCACAGGTCAATGAGGCTCTGGTAAAACCCGAGGTGGTCAGGCTCCAGGGAAATAGTTTATCTTGAGGGCATGCATGTGTTAAGGAGAACAAAATACACTGGCTATATTTCAAAATGATTACTTTTTCCCTCCTGCTGCCTGAAGGAGGAGTCGATTTTTCTCTGATGTTTACTCTGACAACTGGGTGGGACTCCTAGAGGTAAAATTCAGGAAAGCACCGGGGCCATTTTAAGACCAGCCACAAATGGAATTTTTAAATTTCAAGCTTGTCTATACTGAGCCCCCAGGGTTTCATCAATTAGAGCTGAATTTTTCTATCCCAGTACTGACTCCAGTGGGGGGTTTCTGGTCCTAGGCTTTTGCTCTAGTAAGCTGTGATTCTCTGTATCTGCCTGTTTTTTCCAATTTTGGAGGCAGTGTTTTGTCCTGTGACCTCAATTTTCTGACAGATGTATTATAAGAACAGTTCTTGATTTTCCATTTGTTCATCTTTTCTGCTTTTTGGTTGTAACCACAGGACTGACAACTTCCAGGCTTCCTACATGCCACACTGGAAACCAGAAATCTCTCTTAATTTTTTACACCTTCCAATAATCACAAAGTCTTCTCCTTCCCATTTGCCTTCATTTTCCTTTTCCCCAAGTGATTATTTGTTCCTCAGGGTTAACCATGATTGATCATTTTGATGTATCTTCCTCTTCAGAGTTGCAGACACTTTCCTCCCCAGCTGCTGTAACTCATGGAAACAAGTTCCTGTTCTAATGAGAGGATCATGACCACTTCCATTTTTACCCAAGGTAGCTGTGTGGTCATTGCTTCCTTGTCTTATTAGTGCCTGAATGTTCCAGATCAGATCCTGTACTGGAAAGAAATTTAGAAGTCCAATGACCTGGAAGGGCAACCTCATTTCCCAAATAGGAAAGCAGTGCTTAATATGTTGCTGTTATTTTTATCCACTTCACTCTTTGTAGACACATGATTTTAACCTATGGTTGTTAAAAGCATAGCAGGTCTTTCTGGGTCATGGAAATTCACTTAAATGTGCAAATGAACTTTATTTTATTTTTGATTATCAACTCTACCTATCCCTCACTCTATAGTATAAAGGCGAGTATCCCATTAAGCTTAAGAGTATATGAAAATGTCTGTTAGTAGAAGAATTTAATCATAGTGAACACGAATGAACATATTTTCTGTTATGATACAGTCATCTTTATTGGCTAAATCTCTTTCTGGAATGTATTATTATACCCTACTTTCTTTGGACCATTTAGAATTGGCGGGGGAGTGCAGAGAAGTTTGGTCATGTCTAAGGTAATTGAATGACTGTATAATTTATTTCCAAGCAGAGAGAGAAAAAAAACAATCTTGATCAGTCTGGATGGTGGAGCAGGTGGAATAAGTGGGGAGTATTCTGGGTGAACTAGGGCTTTTGTTGACTCTATTTCTTACTTCACCCCCAAGGAAATGGAACTGATTTCAAATTCTTAGAGCTTTCTTGGGCAAGGCAGAAGCTCTTCCTGCCTCAGCTAGTTACTTATTTGCAACTCAAGGAGACAATTGTTTGCTAAAAAAGAGAAGTCAGTCAGATCAATATGAGAGCAAAATTGACACTGGGAATCTGTGTCCTATTTAAACAGGAAAATAAATACATCCACTGCAGATGCTGCAAGTCATGGCAAACCTTCATAGAAAACGAAATATCTGTGCAATTCCCTTCTATTCTGAATAAGTTACAAGAAGAGATTAACAAGATCTATTACAACACAAAGTCAGCAATACTATCTCTCTCACTCCCAACATCACCTGTGGATGGGAACATTATTCAGTTTTCTTTCCCAACCAGCCATGTTAATATACTTCAAAATGTGTTGGTTACTAAAAAAATGACTTAAGACTATACCCTTATTTTTAAATCTACACGAGGGGTCCCCAACTTCCGGGCCACACAGTCTATGGCCTGTTAGGAACCAGGCCACACAGCAGGAGGTAAGTGGCAAGTGAGCATGAGTGAGTGAAGCTGAGTTCCACCTCCTGTCAGATTCACGGTGGCATCAGATTCTCATAGGAGCCCGAACCCTATTGTGAACCACGCACGTGAGGGTTCTAGGTTGTGCGCTTCTTATGAGAATCTAATGATAAATGTAATGCGCTTGAATCATCCCCAGACATCCCCAGCTCCTCTCATCCCATCCATGGAAAAATTGTCTTCCATGAAACTGGTCCCTGGTGCCAAGAAGGTTGAGGACCGCTGATCTATATATAGTCCGAAAAATAATAGATTTTTCTGGCAGTCTACATATATGTGACAAAAATTATGTTAGATGTGTAACGCTAAAGTCCAATAAGCCCGTATACCTAAAAATCATGTTTGCTTTTTGAGGGAAAATAGCCTTCTTTTAATCATAGTCTCTATATTCTCAGAGCCCAGCAAGATGCCTGGCACAGAGTAGGTTAACCCATGTATATATTATTATGGGTATTGATGAATGAAGTGATGACAGGGAGGCATTAACAAAATTAGCATGGCTTGAGCTTTGTGAACTGTATACTGGCATTTTTTGTTTTGCAGGAATATCACGTAGGAAGGTATTTCCATTTTAGTCCTAATACCACCTAAATTCTTTTTTAAGTGACTGAAAAAAATTAGCCACAATATTTCTACATTATATCTTAGCATAAGGATTCATCTATATAGACCCACCATTCTGGGATCCAGATGGGTGGGCAAATTCATTTCATGGTGACCACTGAACAGCTGTCAGTAATAATTTCTAATGACCGCATTTGATTTTCCTAGACTGTTTCCCAACTCTGTCATTTTGCGCCCATCTGTGGGAATGGCAAAGAGCCCACAAGCAAGGTGGCAGGTTATCAGCTGTCTGGAACAGGTAGGGGGAGAAGGATTAGTTAAGCAGAGATGAGAGAACTCTGCTGATAGCTTCTAGGCTGAGTCATAGCACAGTAGCAGTTTGGCCGCTTTGCAACCCTCTCAGTAGCATTTGTGGTTATTAAGAATCAGGGACTAAAACAAAAATGCAAAAGAAAAACCAAAAACAAACCAACTTATTAAGAATAGCATAGGCCATGTGCAGTGGCTCAGGCTGGTAATCCTAACACTTTGGAAGGCTAAGGCAGGAGGATGGCTTGAGCCCAGGGGTTTGAGATTAGCCTGAGCAACAAAGTGAGACCCTGGTTCTACAAAAAAAATTTTTTTTTAAATCATCCAGGCATAGTGATGCACACCAGTAGTTCCAGCTGTGTGGGAGGCTGAGGCAGGAGGTTTGCTTGAGCCTGGGAGGGAAGGTTGTAGCGAGGTATGAGTGTGTCATTATACTGCAGCCTGGGAAACAGACTGATACCGTTTCTCAAAACAAAAACTAAAACAAAAGAAAACAATCAAAAAAAAAACAACGACAACAACAACAACAACAAAAACAAAGTAGCATAATGTGGTTTGAGTTGAGGGCAGAAACTAAGAATCCTTGGCAAATAACTTCTGATTTTATGGATAAAGAAACTGAGACCTAGTGAGAGGAAAGAATTTTTCCATTTCTTTCACAATATTATAAATCTAACTGATCAAGGCACATGAAATACGTATCTTTTTTTAGAAAACTTGCTCTATTAAGGCAAGGATTTTTGTCAGCTTTTCTCAGTTAGATATTTCTATATATAATAAATATTTGCCAAACATACCTTAAAGATCTGTGCAGGCTTATATAGTGGTTAAGAAGTCAAATTCTGAGATATAAATCTGAATAGCTTACGTGACCTTGAGCAACTGAACCTCTCTAAGTCTGAAATGGAAGTCCAAATAGAATATGCATGCAGAATATCTTACACATCCTGGCACACAGGAAGTACTCTATAAATATTCTCCATGAACAATGGGCATTATTATCATCATATACTTTCTCACAGATACAGATTATGACTAAAATGAATTTTCATTTGTCTCTAACACAGACTTTAATAGTGAGCCAAAACCATATGATGGATTACAGATTTCATGTTTAGAAATAAATTTGTCTAGATTCACACTATTTATTGAAGCAGAAGAGTTCTTTGGTAATAAATACCAATATTGTCAGAGATCTTCCTCCTATGAGACTTTACAATGTTAATTGCTGAAGAAGGACACTGGGTTCCATTTAAAAAATAAATTTCCTAATGTTATTATATAGCTACCTATTTTAGTAACACAAAGTGATTAAGGAGTGTACAAGACAAATGATTCAAATTAATCCTGAGTTCTGTCTAGAATATCCCCATGAGCCAAAAAAAGTAAAATATCCAGGTATCTAACTACAGAATAATGGTTAATAGAGATTAAATTTTAAAATACACAGACAAAAATAGCAGATGGAAAAGAAAATATGATGCTTATATACTGACAAATACAAAAAGCACAGAAAGTTGAGGGGGAGCCTCTTCATCCATTAAAAACAGAAAGCATTTTTCTGGAGAAAGAATCCATTAAAAACAGAAAGCACTTTTCTGGAGGCCAGATTTGGGAGGAAATGCATGGGGGAGATGGAGAGAAGAGGTATAAAGTACTATAGAAAGCAAAGATCTGGGACGGAAAGTTACAGAGAATGATCCCAAATTGCTACTGTTAACATATTCGGTATCTCTGTCTTCAGTACTTGGATCACTGTGTAATCACTACCTTAAGGCATGGGCTCAGAGTCCCTCTGTTTTCCACCCACCACATAACTTGGGGCTTGCTACCTCTAGGACTAGCAAAGAGCTTTTGCTAGGAAAAGCTTACCAGGCAATGGTTATGTGAATAACCTGGGAGTCAGATGAACCTGAGTTTGTGTCCTGACTATCACTTTCTAACTATGTGTCCTTAGGTAAGCTCCTCAACTCCTTTCTTGTAAATAGTAATAATAATAATAGTATACCTACTCTCATAGAAGTATTGTAAAAGACAACTCAGGGCCGGGTGTGGTGGCTCACGCCTGTAATCCCAGCACTTTGGGAGGACGAGGCAGGCAGATCATGAGGTCAGGAATTTGAGACCAGCCTGACCAACATGGTGAAACCACATCTCTACTAAAAATATAAAAATTAGCCGGGCATGGTGGTGTGTGCCTGTAATCCCAACTACTCAGGAGTCTGAGGTAGGAGAATTGCTTGAACCCAGGAGGCGGAGGTTGCAGTGAGTGGATATCTTGTCATTGCACTCCAGCCTGGGTGACAGAGTGAGACTCCATCTCAAAAAAAAAAAAAAAAAACCGACAACTCAGACGAGGCAAGAACAACTTGACACAGTACTGGCACATAGTAAGTGTACACTTACTTAAATCTTGTAATTACTGAGGAAACATCCTTGATGTTAGTTCAAAAGAAGATGACATGTATAATTCAAGGATATTGTCTTCCACAGCACTCTGCTATTTCTGCCACTCTTGAACATTTAGCCCTAAAGGGGGCAACACAGTGTAGAAGGAATACTAACAATATGACCTTGGCAAGTCACTTAACTTCTCTAAGCTGTCCTGTCTTTTTTGATTTATCTTGCCTCCAAAGATTGTAGTGAGATCACAATATGAAGATGCAGCAGACCACTATAAGACCACAATTGAAAACCTATAAAGTGATGGGTGTTATAATCAGTCCAGGAATACACATTAACAAAGTGAACACATGTCTGCATTCCAGAAATTCCATATGTCAAAGGCATTTACAACGTAATATTAATTTAGAAATGTTAGCACTGGGCTAGGCACAGTGGAGACTAATAAGCTCATGACCTAAAATGAATTACTAATACTCAGCACATGGGGCAAGATGACTGACTAGATGCAGCCAGGAGGAACACCTGCTACCTGAGGACTAGGAAATCAGGAAGACTGGCCTGCTCTGAGCAGATCTTCAGAGGGAAGTCATTGACAGTGGAGAGAGGGAAGACACAGATGCTGGGCTGATGGGAGAGGAAGCTGGGAAGCCTGAATGGGGCTACTGCACACCAGGACTCATTCGTGGCCCCCAGTGTTTCTTTGCTCCCATAGGATATTTTGACCCCAGGGGAACTGTTGGACCTGAACTCTGCAGGGTGATCTTGCCCATGAGACTGTGCCAGTCTGATCTAAGTACCCCTCAGTCTGCTGGCCTCTCCTGGGGCCCCAGCTTGGCCACGGCTGCTTACAGTGCAGCCCTGGGAGCCCAGGGCAGGTATATCCTGGGAGCCTCAATTATAGCTTCTGTGCTACACAGAGCTCCAGCAGAGTGGCCACTGCAGACATGCACCAGTCTGCCCATACCCTCTCCCCACTGCATCCTCCCCCATGCTGCTTTGCCTACACACACTTTCCCATGGCCAACCCCACATTGCTGGCTTGTGTGTACATGGGCGGACTTTGCCTCCCCTTCTCTGCCAGCACATGTGTTCATATGGGCCCTGCTGTGCCACTGCTGGCAGCATAAGTTCACCTGTCCTTGCTCCCTGCAACTACCACACCACCATGGCTATTTGAGTGTTGGCAAGCACAGAGCCTGCCAGCTCTGCAGCCACCAGCACCCTGTACCCATGCCAACATGGCCACCAGTGCAAAACAAGCCACAGAGAATAATGGACCTGTTGCTGTGGCCACCAGTACCCATGTGAATGCACACAGAAGGTGCACACAGTACTGTGCCCACCAGCTAACCCCATGCTAACACCACCACAAGTGTGAATGCACAAACATATGGTGGCAGGGGCCCCCACCCCTCATGCCCTACTGCCACCATTTCTGCTGTAAATACCCACATGCGGGCCAGTACTCTGGCACCCACTAACACCCCACAGCAGCCAAAAAGTGTACAGCCTGCTGCACTGTCACTGCTGCTGCTGCTGGAATGTGTGAACAAGAATGGATCCTGCTGCCACTGCCCTATGAAATGTTTTGGCTGGCACCACAGTGCTTTGGCTGGCATCACCCAATAGAATGTTGTGACCAGTGGTCTGAGAGCAGTTTGCTCCCTCCAATGCTGCAGGTTCCTGGACTTGAGGAGCCAGAGAACAAAGCCACAGCCCAATACCAGTCCCCCTACAGTTACAGCATGGAGTCTGGAAGTCCTGAGCTGAAACTTGGCCTAATAAAATCTTCCAGAAATGAAGTCAGTTGACTGAACCCACCTGATACTACAATCAAACTCCTAAGGGCATCAAATAGAGAAAAAGACAATTAAAAGGAAAACATCATCCAAAGGACAGAAACTTCAAAGACTGAAGGAACACTGGCCCCAAAAGATGAGAAAGGACCAGAGCAGGAACTCTGACAAACAAAAAAGCCAAAGTGCCCTCTTTCTTCCAAACCACTGCGCTAGTTCTCCAGCAAGGGTTTGTAACTGGGCTGAGATGGCTGAAATGACAGAAATAGAATAAAAAATATGGATGGGAATGAAGATCACTGAGGTTTAGGAGAACACTGAAACCCAATCCAAGGGAGCTAAGAATAACAATAAAATAATACAGGAGCTGACAGACAAAATACTCAGTATAGAAAGGAGTATAATCAACCTGATAGAGCTGAAAAACACACTACAGGAACTTCATCATGCAATTGCAAGTATTAACAGCAGAATAAACCAAGTGGTGGAAGAAAGAGTCTCAGAGCCAGAAGATTGACTTTCTAAAGTAAAACAGCCAGACAAGAATAAAGAAAAAAGAATGAATAGGAACAACTAAACCTCCAAGAAATGTGGGATTATATGAAGACACCAAATCTATGATGCATTGTCGTCCCTGAAAGAGATGGGGAGAATGGAAGCAACTTGGAAAACATTTCAGTATATCATCTGTGAGAACTTCCACAATCTAGCTAGAAAGACCAACACTCAGATTAAGGAAATGCAGAACACCCCTGCAAGATACTTCACAAGATCACCCAAAAGACACCTAATTATCAGATTCTCCAAGGTTAAAATCAAAGAAAAAGTGTTAAAGGCAGCCAGAGAGGAAGAACAGATCCCCTTCAAGGGAAGCCCACTAGACTAACAGTGAAACTCTGAGCAAAAACCTTACAAACCAGAAGGGATTGGGGACCTATATCCAATATTCTTAAAGAAAAGAAATTCCAACCAAAATTTCTTATCTGGCAAAACTGAGTATCATAAGTGAAGGACAAATAAGATCCTTTTCAGACAAGTAAATGCTAAGGGAATTCATTACCACCAGATCTGCCTTACAAGAGTTCCTGAAAGAAGGAAAATGGAAAGAAAAGACCGTTACCAGCCACTATGAAAACAGACTTAAGTACACAGACCATGACACTATAAAACAATAACACAGTCAGGTTTGCATAATAAACAGCTAACATGATCACAGATCAAATCCACACATATCTATACTAACCTGGAATGTAAATGGGCTAAATGACCAAATTAAAAGGCATAGAGTAGCAAGCTATATAAAGAAGCAAGACCCAATGGTATGTTGTCTTCAAGATACCCATCTCATAAGAAATGACATCCATAGGCTCAAAATAAGGGGATGAACAAAATTCTACCAAGCAAGTAAAAAAACAGAAAAAAGCAGGAGTTGCAGTCTTAGCTTCAGACAAAACAGACTTTAAACCGGGAAAGATCAAAAAAGACAAAGAGTGTTACTTCATGGAAAAAGATTCAATTCCACAAGAAAATCTGTCTTAAATACATATGCAACCAACACAGTAGCACCCAGGTTCATAAGTCAAGTTCTTAGAGACCTTCAAAGAGACTTAGACTACCACACAACAATAGTGGGAGACTTTAACACCCCATTGACATTATTAGACAGGTTATCAAGGCAGAAAATTAACAATGATCAGGACTTGAACTCAAAATTTGGAGCAAATGGACCTAATAAACATCTGCAGAACACTCCCATCAAAAATAACAGAAAATGCATCCCTCTCATCCACACACGGCACGTACTCTAAAATCAATGACACTATCAGCAAATGCAAAAGAACCCAAATTATACCAACTGCTCTCTAAAACCACAGTACAACAAAAATAGAGATGAAGACTACAAACATTTCTCAAACCATACAATTACATGGAAATTAAACAAGCTCGCCCATAATGACTTTTGGGTAAATAATGAAATAGAGGCAAAAACCAAGAAACAGTTTAAAACTAATGAGAACAAAGATATAACATGCCAGAATCTCTGGGACACAGCTAAGGCAGTGTTAAGAGGAAACTTTATAGCACTAAATGTCCACATCAAAAAGTTAGAAAGATCTCAAGTTAGCAAATAACATCACAATAAAAATAAGTAGAGAAGCAAGAGAAAAGCAACCTAAAACCAGCAGAAGACAAGAAATAACCAAAATCAGAGTGGAACTGAAGGAAATTGAGACACAAACAAACACTCAAAAGATCAACAAATCCAAGAGTTTGTTTTTTGAAAGAATAAATGAGATAGATATACCCCTAGTAGACTAATAAAAAAAAATAGAGAAGATCCAAATAAATGCAATCAGAAATGACAAAGGGGATTTTAGTACTGACCCCAGAGAAATACAAAGAACCAGAGACTACTATGAATACCTCTATGCACACAGACTGGAAAATTTAGAAGAAATGGATAAATTCCTGGATGTATGCACCCTCTCAATTCTGAATCAGGAAGAAATTGAATCCCTGAACAGGCCAATGATGGGCTTCAAAATTGAACTAGTAATAAATATCCCATCAATCAAAAAAAAAAAAGCCTGGGACCAGATGGATTCACAGCAAAATTCTACTAAGTGCATGAAGAAGAGCTGGTACCGTTTCTACTGAAACTCTTTTCCAAAAAAGAGGAGGAGGGAAATCGCATCACCTCATTCTATGAGGCCAGCATTGCTCTTATACCAAAACGTGGCAGAAACACAACAAAAACAGAAAATATCAGGCCAATGTTATTGATGAACATTGATACAAAACTCCTCAGCAAAATAGTAGCAAACCAAATCCAGCAGCACATCAAAAGCCTAAACTACCATAATCAAGTAGGCTTTATGACTGGGATGCAAGGATGGCTTAACATACACAAATCAATAAATGTGATTTATCAAGTAAACAGAGCTAAAGACAAAAGTCCACATGATTATTTCCACAGAAGCAGAAAAGGCTTTTGATAAAATTCAATATCCCTTCATGGTGAAAATTCTCAAAAAATGAGATATTGAAGGAACATACCAAAAAATAATAAGACCCATCCATGACAAACCTATAGCCAGCATCATACTGAATGAGCAAAGGCTAGAAGCATTCCCCTTGAAAACCAGCACGAGACAAGGATGCCCTCTCTCACCACTCCTGTTCATCACAGTATTGGAAGTCCTGGCCAGAGCAATCAGGCAATTGAAAGAAATAAAGGGCATCCAAATAAAAAAGGGGGAGTCATATTATCTCTGTTTTCAGGTGACATGATTTCATATCTAGAGAACTTTACAGTTTCAGCTCAAAAGCTCCTTAAGTGATAAACAGTTATAGAAAAATTTGGGGATACAAAATTAATATATAAAAATCAGCAGCATTCCTATAAACCGACAGCAGCCGAGCCAATAGCAAATCAGGAACACGATTCTATTCACAATTGCCATAAAAAGAATGAATTACCTAGGAATACAGCTAACCAGGGAGGTAAAAGATCTCTATAAAGAGAATTACAAAACACTGCTCAAAGTAACTAGAGGTGACATAAATGAAAAAACAATTTATGCTCAGAGAAGACAAAATAAATATTGCTAAATGGCTATACTTCCCAGTGCAATTTATAGATTCAATGCTATTCCTATCAAACTACAAATAACATTCCTCACAGAACAAGTGAAAACTATTTTAAAATTCATATGGAACCAAATGAGGCTGAGTAGCAAAGGCAATCCAAAGCAAAAAGATCAAAGCTAGAGGCATCACATTACCGGGCTTCAAACTATACTACGAGGCTACAGTAACCAAAACAACATGGTACAAAAACAGAAACATAGGTCAATGGCACAGAATAGAGAGCAACTCCGAAATATGGCTATACACCTACAACCATCTGATCTTTGACAAAGCTGACCAAAATAATCAATAGAGAAAGGATTCCCTATTCAACAAATAACAACGGAATAACTGGCTAACCGTATGCAAAAGATTAAAACTGGACCCCTTCCTTAAACCATAAACAGAAATAAACTCAAGATGGATTAAAGATTTGAGTGTAAAACCCCAAACTATAAAAACCTTGGAAGTTATCCTAGGCAACAGCATTCTGAACATAGGAACAGGCAAAGGTTTTATTACAAAGGCACTAGGAGCAATTACATTAAAGCAAAAATTGACAAATGGGATCTAATTAAACTAAAGACCTTCTGCAAAGCAAATGAAACTGTCAACAGAGTAAACATACAACCCACAGAATGGGAGAAAATATTTGCAAACTATGCATCTGACAAAGGCCTAATATCCAGAATCTATAAGGAACTTTAACAAGTTAAAAGCAAAAATGGAACAATCCTATTAAAAAGTGGGCAAAGGACATGAACAGACACTTTTCAAAAGAAGACATACATATGGCCAACAAGTATGGCAAGAAATGCTAAATATCACTGATCATTAAAGAAATACAAATCAAAACCACCAGTCAGAATGGCTATTATTAAAAAGTCAAATAATAACAGGTGCTGGTGAGGCTCTGGAGAAAAGAGAACACTTATACAGTGTTGGTGGGAGTATAAATTAGTTCAACCATTGTGGAAAGCAGTGTAGTTATTTCTCAAAGTGCTAAACACAAAACTACCATTTGACCCAACAATTCCATTACTGGGTATATACCCAGAGTAATATAAATCATTCTACCATAAAGACATAGGCATGCACACGGTCACTGCAGCACTGTTCACAATAAAGACATGGAATCAACCTGAATTCCCATTAATGGTAAATTGGATGAATAAAATATGGTAGATATACACCATGGGATTCTATGAAGCCATAAAGAAAGAGTAAAATCATGGCCTTTGCAGAAACATGGATAGAGCTGGAGGCCACTATCCTTAGCAAACTAACACACAAACAGTAAGCCAAATGCTGCATGCTCTCACTTTAAGTGGGAGCTAAATGATGAGAACACATGAACACAAACAGGGGAACAACAGATGTTGGGGCCTACTTGAGGGTAGAGGATGGGAGGAGGGAGAGTATAAAAAAATAACTAATGGATATTAGGTTTAGTACCTGGGTGACAAAATAATCTGTACAACAAAAGCTTGTGACATGAGTTTGCCTACATAACAAACCTATACATGTACTCCTGAACCTAAAATAAGATTTTTTTAAAAAAAGAAAATTACTAATACTAAAAAACTACATGATGAATATCAAGAATTTGGTAAGAATTCTGAGTGCATAAATAAATACATAGAAAACCTTTCAAGATGTCCCGGCCCAAGCTCCAGCCACTGCCTAGCTGCAACTGCATGACAAACTCTGAGCCCACTCAACCCCCAGATTTGTGAGCACAGTTATTGACTGTTATTGTTTTAAGATGTTTTCTGGGTAGCATGTTACTAAGCAATAAGTAAATGACTCAGTTACAAAGCAGTAAGAGTTGTACTTGACTTAAGAAAAGTTCTCAATAAATGCTCTGTATTGTTAAAAAAAAAAAAAGAATTCTGATTGTTGAATGAGTTCAGAAGGAGAAATCTTATATACAATCACTGAAAACCTTTATAATCTTATACAAACCAGAGAATTGACACTTTAAGGGGAGTCAGACCTACAGGCAGAAACTTGATCCAGCTTAGTTCTCAAACCCATGATCACAATTCATAGATTTTATTGGTAGTCAATGTTTCTGGTACAAGTGAATCACTAATGACATTTGTTGGTTTATTGGTTGAAAAGTACTTGCTGTAGATAAACTATCCACCAGGCCATGTGCTCTTCTTCACCTCAGAACCATGCCTTAGTTTATCACTAGCTGCCTCCTTCTCTTTCTTTATATCCTAGCTTCAATGGCAGTCTTTCCTCATCACTTTCTCTAATTAAACCACCTATTCTAATCCACTCCCCTCAAAACACATACATGTTCTATTTTCTCTCCTAACACTGTGATCTTTCCTGTTATGTTTTCCTTAAAAGTGATAATTTCTGAAGAGCAGTTAACTTGGTTAAAATTCCAGACTCTGCCTCTCCTAAAATGGTAAGTAACTGAAGTTTTCTCTCACTTCTGTGAGCTTCCAGCTTTTGCTTTTGTATCAGATTCTCTGAAATCTTGTGGCGTGTACAGTTTAGTGGTCAAAAAGTTTGTGTTTTTTTTTTTTTGGAAGAATTTATATGCACACTTTAGGGCTCACTTCTTCTATGGGTCCTTTACTTCTAGAAGTTTTCCTCTAACTTTCTGCTATACTATGAGCCTCCAAATCATCCTTGGACATCCTGTAAAACTAATTCGGCTGCTTTGCATAGAAAAGTCACTTTTGAATCTGTGCATGCTCATGAGATAGAGCTTCAAACTTGCAAATCTGTTCTTTGTAGTTTGTCTTTCAAAGGTTAATTTCCCTCCAGTTTATGCCCATTTTTGCTTGTTCTTCAGAAATTCCACCTTTTTTTCTTGAGATTTGTAATGGTATCTAAAGGAAGTTTAGTCTCTCCAAACCATGCCACCAATAGTGGAATCCAAATTTCTATGAAATATCTATGTAAGAATGGAGAAAAATTTATTTTCTTTTCTTTATTTTAATGCATCTAGCAAAGTCTATGACGTATATAAGTAATCAATGGAGGACAGAAACAGGTTCCCTAAAGCCTGAAGGGAAAATGAAAAGCAACACATCGGGAAAGATGGAGCATGGTGGGGGGAATGGAGGCAGGAGTTTGGGCACACACAATAGTTAAATAGCTTTCATTCCCAATTTTTATGAAGGCCAGTCCTGAATGTAGCACTGATCCCCAGTGACCTGGAGAAATCTTGATAGTCTTACACTGTATGTCTGAAGAAACATTTTCTGATTAAAACATGTCTTAGCTTGAATCCCACACTTTAAGAAAAAACCTTCTCCTTTCTTAGTTTTAATTTGTTGTCAATATTAATGATTTGCTGTAGGAGCCCCTGGAAGTTTTCTTAAGAGGAAATTTTTATTTGTGGATAGTGATAGGAAAATGCATTTCAGTTGCTACAACAGAAAAAAATAAAAGGATGTTAGAAAACAACTTTTCCATGAAAAGATGGAAGACAAGAACTTACTTTGCAGAAGTGGATCAGAGTGTTTTTTTGCTAATTGTCAATGGCTAAATGTAGGTAAATGGGCATGGATTATTTTATATTACTGGTTCAGTGTAATTCATAACAGGCATATATAATCTCTTCTAAGGAATGTCTATGTTATCTAGATGATTCTAATTCATCTTTCATTATTTGAACCCATTAGATAATACATTTATAATAGAAGTTAACAATTTAAACTATGGAGTCAGAGAGGCTAGGGTCAAAGTAGCAAATATATTATACTACCTACTAACTGTGTGACCTTGAATAAGTTCACACAACCATTCTCTAACTTCTAACTTTTGTAAAATTTACCTGAAAGTGTGAATAATGTTAGTATGTATCTTACCAGATAATAGAAAACAGTTATTGATACATTTGTTCAATGAAGCTTAGGTTATTCTTATTTGCATTTAGTTATAGAATTTGGGGGAAAACAGAGATGTGAGGTAACTCATCCAGTGAACTTAGATTACAACAGCTGAATTTTTCCCTAAAGTATGGATTTTGTTCACCTTGCTTTTATTCAAAATTCTAAAATGTATATCATCTCATATTTTATTTTGTAAGCAGACTATCATTAAAGGTTTTTCATGGACAACATTATGTCTTTTAGTTGTTATAATTTTAAAATAATTTGAACATTTACATTATTAAGCCAGAGAACACCCTCAGTTAAGAAAATTGAAGTGTGTGGTTTCTATTCTGTGCAATCAACAACACAAAAATAAATATGTTGGAAACACACACACACACACAAAAAGAAAATTGAAGTCAGAGAAAAATCATGAGCAAAAGAATGTCAAACACGGTATCTGACACTATAACTGGTGTGCTACAACTTTTGAAAATGTTTCATAACTCTGAAGTCTTAACTGTAACACAGATTAAGAAAACTCCAGCATTTCACTCGTCTACACAGTAAGAAAAACATAAAACTAATGCACAAAGAAAACAGTCAAACATTTCCCCTTTAAAGATATCTAGATACAACATATGGAGAGAAAGAAAGTAAGTCTAGCTGGCGTATTTGACAAAACTGTTGAAACAATTAAAGAAGAAACACAAAATTCAGATCACTAATTTATTTAAAGAACTTTAATTCAAATTTTAAACATTCAATTTAAACATCAAATGGTATAAAATAAATTTAAAGACAAAAATAATATATTATATATAATACTTCCATACAGGGCTAAACACTTTTAACTCCTTGAAGACACTGTCAAACATTTCTCTATTCCTAAATGTCTGAATAGAAATACACGTTCATTTTCCTTAACAAAAGAAGATTGCTTTACATGATTTTCTGTGACTAGCTTTTATTTTCAAGCAAAAATGTTTTGTTGACATGTCTTGGAGTCAATGACTAGAGTTTCCATTATGATTTTTAATGGCTAGATACTACTATTTATTTTGTGTTCTAATTGTATCAGTTAATAACCATGTATAACAACATACCTGAAAACTCAACAGTTTATGACAATAATAATTTATTGTTGCTCATGATGGTAATTGTAACAGTGTTTTATTGAGGGATTGCTCTCAGTCGAAGGGAAGTTAAGGAAGCATGATAAAGCTCGGGAAGAAAGTTAACTTATGATGTGGTATTAGTTTGAGACAAGCTTCAGCTCTAAAGCAAAAATTGCACCCCTGCGTTGGTCTCACCTTAAGGCCATATTGTACACCCTTCCCATCAATCATTGGCCATAACCTGACTTTGGGATCTTGTTTAGCCAAGTGCGATTCCCCAACAAAGGGTGGAGGTAAAAGCTGTTGGCAGCCAATATTCATGGCAGCCTGGTGAAGGGAATCTTGGTGAGTTTCCACAGTACCTATTACAGTGCTATGAAAAGACTCTGCCTTGTAAGTAAGGGAAACTGAAGAGTCAGAAAGCAAAGGTGTGAATACAAGATGAGATTTTTAAAAAAGTACCATCTATGCAATCAACCTATCATGCTAATTTATTAAATGGAAATGCTGTGATTGATCTTTAATACCCTCTTCAGCTCCAAAGTATTAAATAAACACATGGAAACATGCCAAAGCAGTCATAAGTAAAAAAATAAAGCCAGTCATAATTGGCATTATAATGCATTTTTGTATTTTGGTTAAAAACACATTAAAATGTACTATATTAACCATTTTTAAGACTACAGTTAAGTAGTACTAAGTGCATTTACATTGTTGTGAAACATACCTCCAGAACCTTTTCATTTGCAAATCTGAAACTTCATACTCTAAACAAAAACTCCCTTTTTTCTTCCCTCCCAAGAGCCTCTAGTAATTACCATTCTACTTTGTGTTTCTATGAATTTGACTACTTTAGATACCTCATAAAAGTGGAATTATACAGTATTTTCTTTCAGTGATTGGCTAATTTCACTTGACACAATGTCCTCAAAGTTTATACTTGTTTCAACATTAATCAGAATTCCTTTCCATTTTGAGGTATATAATATTCTCTTGTATGAATATACTATATTTGGTTTATCCTTTCATCTGTGGAAGGTCATTTCAGTGACTTCTACCTCTGGCTATTCCAAATAACGCTTCTATAAATATACGTGTGTAACTATCTGTTTGAGATTCTGCTTTTAATTATTTTAGATATAGATCCAGAATTGGGACTGCAGGATCATATGAAAGTTCTCTTGTTAATTTTTGCGGAACCTGCATAATGTTTTCCATAGCAGGCCCACCATTTTATAATTTCACCAACATAATACAAGGGCTTTATATTTTCCACATTTTTGCCATCCTCCACTGGTTTTCTAATTTTTATTTTATTGTAGTGATCCTAATGGGTGTGAGATGATAGCTCTTGGTGGTTTTAATGTGCACTTCTGATAGTGATGTTGAGCATCTTTCATACACTTGTTTATCGTATTTGGAGGAATTTCTACTCAAGTTCCTTTGCTCATTTTAAACAAGTATAAACTTTGAGGACATTGCATCAAATGAAATTAGCCAATCACTAAAAGAAAATTCTTTGTAATTCCACTTTTATGAGGTAACTAAAGTAGTTATTTGATTTTCTGTTGTTGAGGTAGGTGTTCTTTATATACATAATTATTAATCCATTATTAGATATGATTTGCATATATTTTCTATTCCATATGTTGCCTTTTTTACTGTTAATTGTGTCCTTTGATGCATAAAAGTTATGTTTGATGTAGTCACGTTTATCAATTTTTGCAGTTGTTGCCCGTGCGTGTGGAGTCTTATCCAAAACATCATGTCCACGTTCAATATCATAAAGAGTTTCCCCTACATTTTCTTCTAGGAGTTTTATAGTTTAAGGTCTCATGTTTAGTTTTTAAATTCATTTTAGGTTAATTTTTGTGTTTGGTGTAAGGTATCTTATTTTTCCTTACATGTGGATAGCCATTTTTCCCAACACTATCTGTGGAAGAGACTATCCTCTCTATCATTTCTTGAGTTTTTGTGGCACACTTATTGAAAATAATTTGACCATATATGCAAGGATTTAGTTCTGGGAACTCTATTCACTTCAAGGAGTTTATTCATTTCTTCTAGATTTTCTCATTTGCATGCAGTTGTTCATGGTATTCTCTGAGGCACTTTTATATTTCTGTGGGATCAGTTTTAATGTCATTTTTGTAATTTCTGATTGTACTTATTTGGATCTTCTCTTTTTTGGTAGTTTAACTAGCAGTCTATCACTCTTATTTGTTTTTTCAAAAACAACTCTTGGTTTCATTGATCTTTTGTGTGTATTTTTGCATTTCAGTTTCATTAACTTCTTTTCTAACATTAGTTTTATTTTTTTTCCTTCTACTAGCTTTGTGGTTGTTGTTGTTTTTTCCCTAGCCCCTTTTTGTGCAAAGTTAGATTGTTAATTTGAGATCTTTCTAACTTCTTGATGAAAGCATTTAGGGCTATAAAATTTTCTCTTACCACTGCTTTGGTGTTTCCCAGAGATTTTGGTAAGTTGTGTCCCTATTTTTATTAATTCCAAGTAACTTTTTTATTTCTTCCTTAATTTCAGTGTTCACCCAGGCATTATTCAGGGTCTAGTTGTTTAATTTCCATGTATTTGTGTAGTTTTAATAGATCTTGATATTGATTTCTATTTTTATTACACTGTGGCCTGAGAGTGTGCTTGGTGTGATTTAAATTTCTTTAAATTTATTGAGGCTTGCTTTATGACTGGTATGTGGTCGATCTTACAGCATGAAGCATGTGCAGAAAGAATGTCTATTCTGTGTTTGTTGGGTGGAGTGTTCTGTAGAGGTCTATGAGGTCCAATTAGTCAAGTGTCTAGTTTAAGTTCAGAGTTTCTTTGTTAGTTTTCTGCCTTGATGATCTGTCCAACTCTGTCAGTGGGGTGTTGATTCTCCTACTATTATTGTGGGGTTCTCTAAGTCTTTCTGTAGGCTCAGAAGAAATTGTTTTTTTAAGTCTTGGTGCTTCCATATTGGTTATGTATATATTTAGGATAGTTAAGGCTTCTTGTTGAATTTTAATCTTTATTATTATGTAATGCCCTTCATTATCCTTCTTAATTTTTATTGGTTTAAAATTTGTTTTATCTGATACAAGAATAGTGACTCCTGCTCATTTTTGTTTTCCATTTGCATGATAAATTTTTCTCCACTCATTTACTTTAAACCTATGGATCATTACATGCGAGATGAGTCTCTTGAAGTCAACAGATGCTTAGGTCTTGTCTTTTTGTACAGGCTGCCACTCTTCATCTTTTAAGTGGTCATTTAGCCCCCTTACATTCCAGGTTAGTATTGGTATGTATAATTTTGATCATGTCAATGTGTTGTTAGCTGGTTGTTATGTATACTTCATTGTGTAGTTGCTTTACAGTGTCTGTGGGCTGTGTGCTTAAGTGTGTTTTTGTGGTAACATATGTGGTAACACCATTCTTTTGGTTCAATCTTTAGTGCTCCCTTAAGGACCTCTTGCAAAGCTAGTCTAATTCCCTCAGCATTTACTTGTCTGAAGAGGATTTTATTTCTTCTTCACTTACCAAGCTTAATTTGGTGGGATATAAAATTCTTGGTTGGAATTTCTTTAAGAACAGTGAAAACTGAAAATTGGTCCCCAGTTTTGTCTGGCTTGTAAGGTTTCTCCTAAGATATCTGCTGCTAGAGTGATGGGGTTCCCTCTGTAAGTGACCTGCCCCTTCTCTCTAGCTGTCTTTAAGATTTTTTCTTTTGCATTGGCCTTGGTGAATCTGATGATTGTGTGCCTGGGAAATGGTTGTCTTGTAGCATCTAGCTGGGGTTCTCTATATTTCTTAGATTTATATATCAACCTTTCTAGAAAGATTCGGGAAATTTTTGTGGATTATATACTCAAACATAATTTCTACATCGCTTATTTTCTCTCCTCTCTGAGGAATGCCAGTGAGTCATAGATTTGGTCTCTTTACATAATTCCATATTTCTAGAGGTTTTGTTAATTTTTCTTAATTATTTTTCTTTACTTTTGTCTGATGCTTAAGAGCAATGGCTAGTAGTTAGGTTAATACCTGGCTGCATTGCTTTTATATACTTCCTTGGGGTTTGCAGGCATGCTCTTCATTGCAGGGGGACGGAGATGGTCTCCTTTCCAGTTCCACTCCTGGGTCTTGGGGAAACCCCCTCTGATTGCTGGTGCTGCACCCACATTTCTTTTTCTTAGGTGCAGTGGCTGCGGCAGGAGATGTGTCACACTTTTTCTGGGCCAACCCTGTGGAGGAAGACACATCCCATTCCCACTCCAGCCCAGTAACATATGTGTTTCATCCCTCTCAGTGCTTTGAGGGTGGGGGCTTCTTTCTCTCTTGAGTGACAACCACAGATCTCAGCTCTGCACTCCTGAACTGCATGCTGCAGCCCTAGGGACACTGGGATATCTTGCAGCTTGGATTGAGGTTCCAGCTGCACTCGGGGAACAGATGTGCTCCTGGGTCACCAGAAAAGTACTCAGGTACAGCAACACACACAGGTTGGGCTGTGGGGGTTGTGCTGTGCACTGCTTCTGCATGGCAGCTAGGCATGGACCATGGGAATGTCCAGTGGGCAGGGGGGCTTGGAGAGCAGATCTGTCCCAATCCCATGGGGAAGCTGGCCCCTCCACCAGAGCTGCCCAGTATACAAAAGCTCCTGAGCTTCATGCCATCCAAAGGCCTGTTTCTGCCTGCTCCCTGAGATCCCCCTGCACATGGAGGATGCAGGGTCCCCTGTAGCTAGGAACCCCGAGGTCTGCAGTGAGAGTGAGTTATCTCTCAGCTTCCTCCCTCACCCCTTTCTTAGAAGCTATTTGGGGCTGGGAAATAGCCCTGGCCTTCAGACACCTTGAGCAGGGTTCCCAGCTTCCTTCCTCTGCAGTCTTGACTTTAGTCTTCAACATTGCCTCTCCATCCACTCTGAGCATTTTCTCTTCAAAGATCTGTCCAAACCATAGCAATTTACCAATAATTTGGACTCTCTCCATGGGAGCTGTGCTTCCTGACTGCATCTAGTCAGCAGCCTTGTCCCTTCTTTGGCTTTTCTCTAATCTTTATTAGTTCCTTCTTTCTGTTAGCTTGGAGTTTAGTTTGTTCTATTTTTTTATTTTCTGAGGTATAATGTTAGGTTATTTGAGATATTTCTTCTTTTTAATGTACATATTTACAGCTATAAACTTCCTTCTTAGCACTGCTTTCTCTGCACCCCATAAGATTTGGTATGTTGTGTTTTTATTTTTATTTGCCTCAAGATGTTTTCTAATTCCCCTTGTGACTTCTTCTTTGGTTGTTTTGATAAAATGTTTAGTTTTCATATACGTGTGAGTTTTTTCATTTTCCTTGTGCTATTGATTTCTAATTTCATTCTATTATGATTAAAAAATATACTTTGTATGATTTCAGTCTTCTTAAATTTGCTAAGACTTGCTTTGTGGTCTATCCTGGAGAATGTTGCATGAGCACTTGAGAAGAATTCATAATCTGCTGGTGAGTGATGTGTGGTGGTGTTCCGTATAGGGATCGGTTAGGTCCAATTGTCTATGGTGTTGTTCTAGTCCTCTATTTCCTTATTGATTTTCTGTCTAGTCATTCTATTCAGTTTGAAAAGGGGTAGAGAAGTCTCCTATTATGATTGTTTTGCTATTTCTTCTTTTGATTCTGTTGAAATTTGCCTCTTATATTTAGCAGCCCTTAGGTTTTGTGCATATATATTTATAATTGTTAGCGTTTCTGGGTAAATTGAACATTTTATTATTATATAGTATTCTTCTTTGTCTCTTGGAATGGTTTTTGATTTAAAGTCTCTTTTCTTATGCATAAATATAGTCACTTCTGCATACTTTCACTTATTATTTTCATGTACTATCTTTTCCCATCCTCTCACTTTCAGCCTATGAGTGCTCTTAGATCTAAGGTGAGCTTCTTGTAAACAGTGTATAGTTGGATCCTGTTTTGTTCTGCTTTATTTTCATTCAGCTAATCTTTTACTGGGGAGTTTAATCCATTTACATTTAAAGTAATTACTGATAAGGACTGATATGGTTTGGCTGTGTCCCTGTCAAAATCTCATCTTGAACTGCAGTTCCCATAATTCCTATGTGTAGTGGTAGGGACCTGGCAGGAGGCAATTGAATCATAGAGGCAGGTCTTTCCCATGCTGTTCTCTTGATAGTGAATAAGTCTCACAACATCTCATGGTTTTATAAAGGGGAGTTCACCTGTACACGATCTGTTACCTGCTGCCATGTAAGATGTGACTTTGCTCCTCCTTCAGCCTTCTGCCATGATTGTGAGGCCTCCCCAGCCATGTGGAACTGTGAGACCCTTAAGCTTCTTTCCTTGATAAATTTTCCAGTCTCAGGTATGTCTTTTTTTGCCACATGAGAACAGACTAATACAGTAAACTGTTAACTGGTAGTGGGGTGCTGCTGTAGAGATACCCAAAAATGTGGAAATGACTTTGGAACTAGGTAACAGGCAGAGGTTGGAACAGTTTGGAGGGCTCAGAAGACAGAAAGATGTGGGAAAGTTTGGAACTTTCCAGAGACTTGTTGAATGGCTTTGACCAAAATGCTGATAATTATATGGACAATAAAGTCCAGGCTGAGGAGAGGAGGAACTTTTTAGAAACTGGAACACAGGTGACTCTTGCTGTGCTTTAGCAAAGAGACTGGCAGCTTTTTGACCCTGTGCTAGAGATATGTGGAATTTTGAACTTCAGAGACATGATTTGGGATATCTGGTGGAAGAAATTTCTAAGAGGCAAAGCATTCAAGAGGAAGCAGAGCATCAAAGTTTGGACAATTTGCAGCCTGATAATGCAATAGAAACAACAACAACAAAAACACATTGTCTGGGGAGAAATTCAAGCCTGCTGCAAAATTTTGCTTAAGTAATGAGGAGCCCAATGTTTATCACCAAGACAATGGGGAAAATGTCACCAGGGCATGTCAGAGACCTTCTCAGCAGCCCCTCTCATCACAGGACTCAGGCCTAGGAGGGTTTCCTAGGCTGAGTCCAGGGCCCCCCTGCTGTGTGCAGCTAGGGATTTGGTGTCCTGCATTGCAGCTTCTCTAGCTGTGGCTAAGAGGGGCCAAGGTACAGCTTAGGCCATGGCTTCAGAGGGTTCAAGCCCCAAGCCTTGGCAGCTTTCATGTGGTGTTGAGCCTGTGGTACACAGAAGAATTGAGGTGTGGGAACCTCCAACTAGATTTCAAAGGATTTATGGAAATGCCTGGATGTCTAGACAGAAGTTTGCTGCAGGGGTGGGGGCCCTCATGGAAAACGTCTGCTAGGGCAGTGTGGAAGGGAAATATGGGGTTGGAGGCATCCCACAGAGTCTCCACTGGGATAATGCCTAGTCGAGCTGTGAGAAGGGGGCCACCATCCTGTAGATCTGAGAATGGTAGATTCACTGACAGGTTGCACTGTGCACTTAGGAAAGCTGCAGACACTCAACGCCAGCCCACAAAAGCAGCCAAGAGGGGCTGTACTCTGCAAAGCCACAGGAATGGAGCTGCCCCAGACTATGGGAACCCACTTCTTGCATCAGCATGACCCCTATGTGAGACATGGAATCAAAGGAGATCACTTTGGAGCTTTATGATTTGAGTGCCCCACTGGATTTCAGACTTGCATGGGGCCCATAGCCCCTTCATTCTGGCCAATTTCTCCCATTTGGAACAGCTGTATTTACCCAATGCCTGTATCCCCATTGTATCTAGGAAGATTGACTTGCTTATGATTTTACAGGCTCATAGGCAGAAGGGACTTGCCTTGTTTCAGATGAGACTTTGGACTATGGACTCTGAGTTAATGCTGAAATGAGTTAAGGCTTTGGGGGACTGTTGGGAAGGGATGATTTGTTCTGAAATGCAGGACATGAGTTTTGAGAGGGTTCCAGTTAACTATATAAAAATAAAAATGTTCTAATGTCATTATTAAATAGCGTGCTAAAATGTAAAAGTGTGAATTCATTTCTCATGGGTAGCTGAGGTCACAGTAGCATGTGGAATATGATTTCACTTATTCCAATGGCATCTTGATGAAATTCAAAGCATGAAACTCATTCTTGGTAACATTTTTTAATGGT
This sequence comes from Homo sapiens, assembly GCF_000001405.40. Lineage (NCBI taxonomy): Eukaryota > Metazoa > Chordata > Mammalia > Primates > Hominidae > Homo > Homo sapiens. The sequence continues at coordinate 107,788,203 of NC_000010.11, forward strand.
AAAATTGAGGCACAGAAATGAAGGGAAAATGTGGCCCAAATTACATAGCAATTATATAATTTGTGTTAGTATTGAATCTAGTCTTTTAGTCAAGGATATAGAAATGAATTATTACTGATCAAAGATGAATCCTGAGTTAGCCATACATGAACATACACCATAGTCACAAATTGCCATTCTTTAGCTAAGAATGAATAAATGGTATTTTTACAATAAAGAAATCCATGTAAAAACATGATAGATTTTTTTAAATCTTTACTAGTAGTCATAGAAAAACACAATCAAATAATATTCTTTTGGCCTGTCAAAATTCTAAAATGTGTATGGGTGTATGTCTGTGTCTGCTAATAAGTATTGTTGTTCATAGAGAAGGGGGAGACACATTTATCAGTATGTTTCAAAGGCCAAAATTATTAATGCCCCTTAACCCAAAAATTCTGCATGTAATAATTTACTTTATATGTGTAATTATAAATACCCCAAAATATTTATAGACATTCTGAATTATGAAAATCTCAAAATAAACTGAAATTCCAGTAAGAGGGCATTGGCAAACTGGATGTCAGTATGTAAGAATGATGAATCATAATATTAGTCATTAAAAATCAAGTTTAAAAGGATAATTGTGAGGTAATATAGTCACAAGGCATTGAAAAAGAAAGCAGGTTACATAACAGATGTTGAATGATACAATTTTATAAATACATGAACGTTATTTAGGATTCTTAGTTTTATTTTCTAAAACCCGTTGACAGGCATGGGGAGTGGAAGGTGAGGATAAGAATTATTAAGTACCACCTACTCTGCACTGAATTTTAACACAGGTATATTTAACACTAAGTCATGAAAAAAAATTATATTTCTTGGATATTCTTCTAGCTGAGGTGTTCATATTAATAAAACTCCCTTTTCTCTAGTATTTTATTTCATGAGGCAATAGCATCCATCAGATAATGTAAAGTATAAATATTTAGTGTGCCTCCTTCTAGGCTATGAATACAGTACTTGGAAGATATAATATTGGGAGATGTAGCAAGTGCACACAATTAAGGAGTGCACACAGGCTCACTACAACTCTTTTAGAACTTTGTGATTTCCTGATCTCTTTCTTTGTGATGGTAAATTTCCCCAAACTTTTCCCTAGACATTTCCTCAAGATCAAGCAAGGTAAGTTACAAATTATATCATCCTTAATTGTAAGTAATTTACATTTATAATTATAAGTAATTTACATTTATAACTTGATTGTTTTATTTTACTAATATCAGTGTTAGAAGTTTTCTACTGTGTTCTACATTTGTGTACCATTTTTACTTTCTCTCTATGACCTAAATCACTGCGTGAGAATTTTAAAGCCTGAAGCCCCAACAACCATTATCCAAATGGCCATACTAATAAGTACCAATCATTTTGTTCTCATAACTTTAACATCCCCCTAATAACAAACATACAGAGGACATATACAGAAGAATTTCAAACAGACTAACAAATAAAAATGGTGAGCAACGTAAAGATTCTGCATACTAAGCTATATATTCCATTCTGAGCACAAGATAACAACATTTTACTAATAAAATAATAAATTTATGATGCATGGAAGGTAACTACGGCAACATCACAGCTGAAAGCGCTCAAGCAATCCACCCAGTTCAACCTCCCAAGTAGCTGGCACCACAGGCATGCACTACCACACCCAGCTAATTTTTGTATGTTTTTGTAGATGCAGGGCTTCATCATGTTGCTCAGGCTGGTCTCAAACTCTTGGGCTCAAGTGATCCTCTCTCCTTGGCATCGCAAAGTGTTGGGATTACAGACAGGAGCCACCACACTTATTTGTTCTTACCCTCAAAATAGTCAGAATTTAATCAAATATTATGAGACACAGCAAAAGGCTAAGAAACAAAACAAAACTTTACCAGGAGATAAAGCAATTCACAGAACCAGCCTCAAAGATGACTTATATGCTATGACTATCAGATGGAAATCTTAAAATGATTGATTGACATGTTAAAGGTCATGGAGAAATGGTGTACAACACACGTTTCAACAGGAACATGAAAATTTCAATAGAGTCCAAGTGAAATAAAATAAATTTTAAAAATATCAGAAATGAATAGATATTTCAATGAACTCATCTTCAAACTCTATAATCAGCAAAATTGAAGATAAATAAATATATGTAACCCAGTCCAAAACTGAAAGAGAAAAAAATAAAAAATAAATTAACAGATTTCTTAAGAACTGTGGGACAACATCAAAGGTCTAACACACGTATAATTGGAATCATAAAACAAGAAGAGAGAAAACCAAAAAAAGAAGTATTGATTAGATCATCTACAACAATTTACAAAATTTAATTAATTTTCAAAAATATAATAAAGTACAGACCAAGAAGTCTTGAGAACTCCAAGAAAAATTGATACAAACAAAATGGGACATACACCTAGAGGCCTAATAGTCAAAGTGATAAAAACAGATATAAAAACGTAAATCTTAGAGACATCTGAGGAAAACAAGAAATATTACACATAGAGAACAAAAAAAATGGGTGCCTGTATTAATTGAATCTTTTTCAGAAGCATAAGTCCATTTTTTTATAAACCTCTTTAAAAGATAACTAACTACTTAAAACCAAAACAATAATAATGTGTTGTGGGATATACAGCAAGCAAAGGTAAAATGTCTGAAAAAGGCTGGGCACAGTGGCTCACGCCTGTAATCCCAGCACTTTGGGAGGCCGAGGCAGGTGGATCACGAGGTCAGGAGATGGAGACCATCCTGGCTAACACGGTAAAACCCCATCTCTACTAAAAATACAAAAACAAAATTAGCCAGGTGTGGTGGCGGGCACCTATAGTCCCAGCTGCTCAGGAGGCTGAGGCGGGAGAATGGCATGAAGCCGGGAGGCAGAGCTTGCAGTGAGCTGAGATCGCACCACTGCACTCCAGCCTGGGTGACAGAGTGAGACTCCATCTCAAAAAAAAAAAAAAAAAGTCTGAAAAAAAGTGTGCAAAGTTTACTATATAGCTACACTAATCAAGACAGTGTGGTATTGACAGTGGGATGACACCTACATAAGTGGAATACAGTACAAAAAATAGACTTACACAAGTATGTCCAGCCGATTCTTCACAATAGTGCAAAACAAAGGAGGAAGGATTTTCTTTTCAACAAATGGTGTTGGAGTAATTGGCCATTATATCACGGTTCAACCAGAGAAAAAGGACCAGGTGCAAGTAATTGAAGGGACAGCTAAGCAATTCTGAAATTCATGGCACAGTCAGGAAAGGAAAGGAAAATCATAAACAGAATAGAACTTCATGGGCACTGGCCAAAGCTGTTTTCCATGGATGGAATTTCTTTCTCTCGGTAAGATGCCCACTGTGTAACAGCTTCCAGCTGATGCAGGAAGGAACACCGAGATTATCGATAATCTCTCATACTTAAAGTCAACTAATTAGAAGCTCTGTGTCTGAAAAGTCCTATTACAACAGCACCAAGATTAGTGTTTGAATAACTGAGGGTGTAGCATAGCCACGTTCACACATCAGAAGGGCTATCACAGACATCCTTAGGCAAAAGAAATAAACTTCTCATATCATACATAAAAATTAACCCAAAATGGATTACAGTCTTAAATTTAAAACATAAAACTATCAAAAGTTTGGAAAAAAAATAAGAGAACAACTTTGGACCTATGACTAGGCAAAAGAGTTGATACCAAAAACATAATCTATAAAGAAAAAGTTAATAAATTGGAGCTCCATAAGATTTAAAATATTTGCTTTATGTAATCCCATGAAGAAAATGAAAAAGCTACTGACAAGAAAAAAAGTATGAAATAATCTGATTGTTTCAGATATTTATTGCTGCACAACAAACCTCACCAAATTTAGTGGCTTAGAAGAAAATGTATCAGTTTTTACAATTGAGTAATTTGGGAGGAGTCGAGCTGTGCAGTTCTATGCCATGGGGTATATAGGAGGCCTAGATCATTTAACATATTTTATTTAAAAGTCTGGCAATTCATCTGGTGTTGTGTAAAGAGCTGGGACTGTTTAGTCTCTTTCTTGCATGTGTGTGTGTGTGTGTGTGTGCGCGCGCGCGTACCCTTTGTGGATAATTTGGACTTATTCGAAGCAGGGTACTTTTAGGGTAGTTACACACATCAATTAACATCCAAAATTAAACATTTCAAAAGCAATAGTCTAGAGTGTGACTCTCATAAAGCCCCTGTTAGTCTCATACTTACTAATGCCCCATTAGCCAAAGGAGGAGCCATTTGACACAGGAGAAGTCCAATAAGAACACGTGCTGGGAGGCCTGGTTTATTCTGGGTCACTAACTTAACAGTCTATCACATCATACATTCACTCAGGTATCTATTAAGAATGTTAAGAACACCCTATGAGATATTTCAATACTGTACGGGAGGGGAAGTAATCCCTAAAACCCATCCCAAATAACAGCTTTGGTAATATTTCAGGAATAAAGTTTCTCCTGCCTTCTTTTCTGAAAACAAGTAATGTTGAGTTATATGAAAAAGAAATCTACAAAAGGTAAACACTTCTGCTTTCCTGTTAAATCTTGCATTGGAAAGGGCTCAAAGCAGCAAAGTGAATATCCATTTTTGTGTACCTCGACCTGGAGCTTTGCATCCAGGAGCTATAGCATGATATATAATAAGAGTATTAGGTTTAGAGTCATACAACCTGGGTTTTTTTCACTGGTGAGCTGCATAATTTTGAGCGGTTACGTAATCTGAGTCTCAGCTTACTCATCAAAAAATGGAATTATGTTACCTTTCTGTATTTCTTCTCACAAACGCTGGCAAAACACTTATAGAAAGGAAAATTGTGAATAAATGCAGGGATAATAACTACACAAATTTTCTCTGAGGGAGCTAAAAGGAAGACCTAATTCATTATTTCTAAACTCTAGTCTTCTAAGAGATAACAGTCTAGTTTTGTTATCCTGGTAATCTACATGTTCTTTAAACACTGGATACTCTGAGATCAAGATTCACACAGCCTGCAGCTGACCTACATAATATACCTGTTTTCTGACAGTAAATAATCAATGTAAAAGCTTTCTTACATCAGCTGTTGGGATCCATATTGACTTCTGTCCTAAATTTTTCCTAAAACATCTGCAAAGGTAATACACCAATTATGGAACTAGAAGAGAGATGCAAACAAACAAACAAAAACCCTTTTCTTCTTAATAACTAGTACTGTAACAGATGGTTTGTGACAGAACAGTGATATTACAACCCCCACTAATTATTAAAGGAGAGAGGAAATTCTGCTTACTTAATATCAGTCTTAATGGAATTCCATGGCAATCCCCTCCAAAGCATCCATCTCTGTTGCTTACCTAAGTCACAATCTTGGCGCCCTTGGCTCATTTATCATAGAAACCAGCAAAGCTTAATTATCTGCATGAATGGGGACACTTTTATTGAACTTGGGCAAGTTACTCATGCCCTCAGAACACTAGGTTCATTAACAAAAATGGGAACTTTTGCTGTTAACCCACCCTGAGGACCTCAGTTGGATTATTGGAAGAAAACATGTTAGTTCTAATGCTGAGCTTCACTAGACATATATAGTTGATAAAACAAAGCTAAAGCTAAATCTACAGCTCAGAATTTGTTTCTAATAATTCTGGAATATTCTTATCTTGTAAATGCTGTGATGAACCAATACGGAGGTGCTAAATATGTGATTAAGTTAAATGTTTTGGTGTCTCAACTATCCTGTTTTAAGTCCTAAGTCTGCAACCAACTATCTGATACTGGAATTTTATATCATTGAGAAGTATATAAAAAGAGGACTTTTTAAAATCAATTCTTAAAAGAAAAACCATCATAACTATAGTTAGACTTTATCGAAATAATTCGTGAAAGCACTTAACATAGTACTTTAGTACTTAATAAAGGCAAAATTTTATATTATTCTATTTTTATTACAATTCAGTGATGCACACCTAAGAAATTGAATCAATTTCTTCTATCTCCTCTCTTGACATATTCCCCCCAAATCTTGTAATTAAACATAAAGTACTATAAAAAGTTGGAAAGTAATCAATAACATTTTTAAAGGGAAAAGATTTTTTCCTTTTCCTTCACAATTTATAGAAAAATCTTGATAACAGAAGATTTTTGCTCTATGTCCCCTGATAGTTACTGTTTATTGGGCCTTGGAAAAGTCAGTTCTCATCTTTCTTAGGAAACTGCATTTTCTACAGCCATAAAAAAGAGAAATTATGTGTGACATGCTTAGTTCGGTAGGAACTTGGAAGAATTAAAAACTAATATTTATGGGAAACATTTATTTACTCAAAAAGTCTTATTTTTTGTTCAGATATTTTGACCTTGTATTCTTATTCCTTGAAATGTATTTTTAGAAAATAATTCTAATGAAGAAAGAAAAAGTGTATTTATATTAATTTTATATTTAGAAAATATATTATTTTAATATGTTGTTGGATTTATGTTCCTAATGTTTTGACAAGGATATTTATACCTATGGTCATGGAGGATATTTGCTGGTAACTTTCTTGGTGGCAGACTATGTTAGAATCATAAAGCCAGTTGGGAGATTCCTTTTCCTCCTCTATATTCTGGAAGAGTTTGTGTAATGTAGGTATTATTTCTTAAATATTGGATAAAACTCACCTATACATATATTTATTTTTTCCTAATGAGAAGTTCACTATTATTTATATTGCTCTTCACTCTATGTAATATATCTATTTTCTCTGACTGCCTTCAAGTTCAATTTATCTTTAATTTTCCTTAAACTGTGATGTGCTTATTTTTTTTTTGTATTTATTATTTTGAACCTTTTGATCCCAATAACTTGCATATGGGAAATGTAGTGTGATGTTTTTCACCAAATTTAAGGCAATTCATCTATTATATTGAAATAGTTTTTCTCATCTGTTCTTTCTCTCCTAACTTCCTGGGACCCCAATTGTCTATACATTAGATTGTTTAATATTACAATACAATTTGCTACCTGTTTATATTTTGTTCAGTTATTTAATAATTAATTAATCCATTTTGAGGCAGGGTCTCATTCCATAGCTTTCTGCAGTGTTGAACTCCTCAGCTCAAGCAATCCTCCAAACCTCAGCTTCCCGAGTAGCTGGGGCTACAAGGCATGCACCACTATGACAAGCTAGTTTAAAAGAAAAAAAAATTGTTTTGTAGAGATGGGGTCTCCCTATGTTGCTGAGGCTGGTCCCAAACTCCTGGGCTCAAGGAATCCTCCTGCATTGGCCTCCTAAAATGCTGGGATTACAACTGTGAGCAACTCTCCCCATCCTGTTTATTTTGTTTCAAAATCATGTTTTTCCATATTCTGAAAATTGGATATTTTCTGCTGATCTGTCTTCATACTATTTGTCTCTTTCTATTGCAGTCTCAAATCTGTTATTGTTCATCCCATTCAGTGATTTATTTTTTCCTGTGAAATACTCTGCCTGTTATTTCCAGAATAAAATTATAGGCTCTATTTTTTTGCTGATATTCCCTATCAGTTTATTCATTATTACCACATTTTTTAACTCCTTGAATCTAATTTAAAGAGCTGCTTTAAAGTCTTTGAGACTTCTGATCATAAAAAAGGTTTATCTTGAGTTCTTTTCTAACTGACTACAATTTCGTCTTTCTGAAATAAGGGTCATATATTCTTGCTTTTTCTGATGCTCAGTATTTTTATTGCATTTTGCACATTGCAGCTATTTATTATAGGTAATTTGAAATATATTGTTTTCCTTTAGATGGTTCTGATTTTTGTTTTGTCAAATAGTTTGATTAATGACAGACATTGTCATCATTGATAAACCTTTTTTCTTTTGTTTGCTAATGTGCCTTTATTTTTCTTTTATTCTTAATCTTAAGTTTCTGCTGTTACTCAGGACATGTCCTTTACTACTTATTTGGCTTTTCTGGTATCTCAACTAAGTATCTGAGCTGCTTAGTGAGGTTTCTTCACTATGGTTTGGCTATAATTCCAATGTTTTCCAACCCTGTCCAACCTCCAGTAAATTTCCCAAGTCTCAATCACACAGTAACAGCTCTCTGCAAGGCCTCATAGAACCTTTCCTTGAACACCTGCCAGCCATCTTTAAGCCAAGGACCCTCCAGGAATCAGGGTACTGTCTTCTGCACCTCATTGTGTACAACTTTCTTTTCTGTATTATTTTGCTGAGGATATTCTCACTGTCTCAGTAAGTCTGAACTCTATCTTTACCTCAATTGTTCAGTAAAATACTAATCTGCTTTATTATTATGCCTTCCACCCACCCAGCATGGAAGCTCATTCAGTGAAATGCTATGCTCAGTTGAGTGACAGTGCCATCCCTCTCTGCCTTACTCCCTTGACTTGACTCTATCCGATTCACCAATATCACGTCCTCCGATCTCTACATCTGAAGTTCATCTCTACTCCCATTTTTATTTCACAATTGGGTTGGCAAAGAAAATATTTGAATACATCCAGCTTTCTCCCTGCCACTCTGACCTAACTCAGTGAATCTTAATAACAGTTAGGTCATTTCTTTTGAAGCTGACCTAGATTTGAGTCTCACTGGTGAATTTTGAACTTAACTCTTTATTCGCATCACTGTAGCTTTGACTCTGAAAAGAATGACCTCTGATTCTCCACATTGGTCACAGTGTTCCAGGCCATTCCTCTGTGACTTTTCTGTTTTGCTCATAGAATTAATGTGCTCAACACTCATAAGCTGTATACTCCATTCCCACATTCCAATGAAATAGCTTTTCTAGGCCTGGAATCCTTCACTGATCCTTTTAGAGACAGCATTCAGTCACTCTCAAGTTCTAGGTACAGCTTAATTCTTCAAACTTTGAATCAAATGAAATGCCTCAGTTCAAACATGTTCACCTTTTAAATGGAATATCTAAGTTGTTCAGCTCCACAAGCTGGTTATTTAAGAAAAGAATATGGCTTAGAAACAAATGAGCAATGTCCATAGTATTTCATGTAAACCTGATATGAGTCTATTATTGCAAGTTTGGTATTTTTAAATACTTTAAATAAAACTAAAGATGCCTTTAAATTGTCTTTTTTTCTGTCAATAAAATAATCAAAACGTTTGTTATGCCCCGATAAAAAATGTTCCATTTCTTTGCTTGGGATACAGAAGGAAAGGATGTCATAGTTTCTGCTCTTAAGCTGACAGGCCAGTGGTAGACTCAAGATCAACACCCCTGAAATAATGGTGTCCTTCCCGTGAAAGCCTATGGACATTTATGTGGCTCAAATTATAAAGGATTTACGGTTTCAGAAACTATCTGGCTATTTAGGTGATAATGTACTGAGAATAAGCTGCAATGAGACAGTTTGTCCATAAAATAGATGTTTTCCTGCTCCAAAAATATAATCAATTTTCTCCAAATTCACAAAATAAGCCATAATTTATCTCATCAAATTCTGATCAAATAAAAAGTAGATAGAGTTATATCAAACATACATACTATACATGCTTCTCATACATTTTCCTGTGTGTTATCTCACTTAACCATTACAACAACCTACAGGCAGGATGGAGGAGGTATTTTATTTACCAATTTAGAAAAATGAGGCTCAGTTTGGTCAAGTGACTTATTGAAGGTCACACAGCTAGTTAATTATCTTATCCAGTGCTATTTTTATTACACCACTCTAATTTAGCTCCTTCAATACCAGTGAGACATCAAGACACTTCAATCAATAAGTTTAACTGTTTAATCAATAATTCAAGGAACTACTAATTGAATGGGGCAACATTTATGGATATATTAAAAGGCATCACTTTTCTAAGAAGCACTACCAAAGGTCATGTGATATTTGCAACTCAACCCACTTTGCCATAATCGTTTCTCTAAATAAATTATTCAGATTACAACTTACATGCTCTTTTGCTTTAAAATTCTGATAAACACATTTATTCTCAAGCTGCTCACTAGGCACATTAATATGTATTTTCTCAAATACAATATATAAATATACTTTGTTTTGACCATGAACAGGTGAAGGCATCAGGAGAGTCCATTCAAGAGCAGGAAAAGAGAAAATTAGTTTGCACTATGAGGCCTGCACTTCAATCATGTCATTTCAGAATAAACATCTTCTGGGAGGCAACCACACAGATGCTTTCATAGCAGAATGAGGAGCTGATATAAGCACCCAAGGGTGCTATCAATGAACAGCAGACATTTGCTGGTGAGCTGAGATCAGTGACTTTAATTCCAAGAGTAAAATGATCTTTGAAAAGGAAAAATGCCCAGTGTTATCAGCCACTGTTGTGGAATCTTTGTACCCTGCATAACTAATTGGGTGTGAGAGCCAGCTCCATTCTGGTAGTTGTGGTAGAGGGTAATCATAACATTTGCCTACTTGTGCTGTTTAGAGAATTTGACCTTCTCTAGAAAAACTCAGGAAAAGAAAAGCTTCAAGCTTTCAAAGTTTCAAGAAATTCTTTTGTGGTTATTGGAAATTAGGAAGTGAACAAAGTGAAAACAAAACGTTTCTAAGTGATTGTGGTGTATTTCTTTCATGTTTAAATTAAAGAAAACGCAAAGTAAATGAATTGAATATATTAATTTAAATCAACAAAAAGTGAATAGGAAATACATAAAAATATCAATATTATTCTATAAATGAAGCATCTATAGAGTTTTGTTCTTAACTGAATTGTTCTTAATACTGTTTGGATATGAGAAGAAACAGTTTCCATCTGGGAGTCAGATTCATATGAGTTCAAATCCTCAGCAGCTACTCAAAAGCTATGTGAATTTTGGAATATACATTAAGCTCTTTTGGTCACAAAACAATCAATCAAACACAACACAACAAAAAAAGTAATATCCTAAGCAAAATAAGGGTACTGAGATAACTCATTGAATCCAATAAATAAATAATCAGTTACTGGAAAGCATTAAGATCTGGGCATTCCCGTGGACTTCAGCAAATGAATTTAGAGGAAATTTTTTTCTGAAATTCTACCACAAAAATTCTCAATCTTAGTTAGATGTCACAGTAATGTCCATGTGGAGGAGAGGCCGACACTCTGAACCTCTTGTTAAGTTGACTATATTGAGATGAAGCTTGTTTTATTGATGTATTTTACTTTTGGGACACACATCGAGAAGTGGCAAAAGGTTTATACAGGTGAAGGAGCTAAGTGCACACACACACTATATCCTCTGCACCATAAAGCAGTGTTATATATGTGTGTGTATATATATATATACACACACACACACACACACACGTGTTATGTATATATAACACATACATAAACATACAGAAAAATATTTATTTATATAATTTTTTCCTTTTTCTTTTATAGCTGACTAGGTTTTCTTCCAATAAAGCCTTCTTTCAGGTACTCATGATTAATCTCTTGTGTAAATCATTGCCAATGATCTGCTCTTAACTTTCGTTACTGATTCTCAGTCCTGAGTGAGACTAAACTGCTAAGTATTCCTAAATTACCTAATTCCTTCTTCCCATACCTGCATAGACAAATCCAGCTAAAAACACAATCTCTCTTCTTTCAGGGACTTTAAGGTGATCAGGGAATGCCTTGGGGAACTTTAAGATAGAAGCCACAGTAAACCATATTAAAAGTGAGGGGGAGAGAAAGAGAGAGCAGTCACCAACATTAGCTTGACATCAGAGAGCTTCCCATGGTTTTGCAATTCTCAAAAGTGACCGGGGAAACAGTGGTCATATTTGGGTTTATATGTCTTTAAACCTGCATTGTTTGCAATTCTATTGTTTCCAGCTATCATTGGCCCAAAGAGTGTTTTCTTCACATTTTTCTGTAAAATATGAAGAAATACATAACAGTTTCTTCTTCTACATGAGGCAGAAAGAGATGATGGTGAGACATAAAGCTGGGAACCCATTTATACTCTCTTCTGCATCATAGACCAGATTATTTATCTCAACAGAGGAAAAAAAAGACTAATAATGTACATTTCCACACTTGCCATGTGTTCTTTTAAAGTGACAGTGGCAGGTGGCAGGTGGAAATGTAATGTTAATTTTCATTTCTCTTGCCACATCCCTTTGAGAAAATCCTTCATTCTCTCATTCTTAAAACATTTCTCTCATTTCAACAGCCGATGACTGACTCAGGGCAAATTCAAGATTAGGCAAGCAAGAAAGCCACAGATAAGTCTATAAAGAACAGGCCATTTTTCATGCTATTTTTAAGCAAGATTGTTATCCTTCTTCCTCTTCTCCACCATGACACCACGTTACTGGTGCTGAAAGCCTATTATTGGCTAAGAGCAAGAAAGCAAGGTATTAAAAAGGGTCATTAGCATGTTTCTGATTTGGTAGTTATACAGGTTGACTGGAGTCCTTGTCAGTTCTGTTGATCTGGTTAATACTGTCTTCCTAAAGTCATCAGAATCAATGATATAAGACAAGGTGCTGCAATATCAAGTGCCTGCAGGTAACAAGAAAGAAATGAGGTATCTTGAGTGTAAGAAAACAGGGAGGATATTGGAAACTGAAGAGTGTGTGCTCATCTACGGTGAGTGGAAACTCAAACCCAGTGTTGCAAGGTCTTCACCTATTTAAAGGAAGCTAGCCCCTCTGCCTGGCCAGCTGCCCCGTCCGGGAAGGAGGTGTGGGGGTCAGCCCCCCGCCCGGCCAGCCGCCCCGTCCAGGAGGGAGGTGGGGGGGTCAGCCCCCCGCCCGGCCAGCCACCCCGTCCGGGAGGTGAGGGGCGCCTCTGCCCGGCTGCCCCTACTGGGAAGTGAGGAGCCCCTCTGCCCGGCCACCACCCCGTCTGGGAGGTGTACCCAACAGCTCATTGAGAACGGGCCATGATGACAATGGCAGTTTTGTGGAATAGAAAGGGGGGAAAGGTGGGGAAAAGATTGAGAAATCGGATGGTTGCCGTGTCTGTGTAGAAAGAGGTAGACATGGGAGACTTTTCATTTTGTTCTGTACTAAGAAAAATTCTTCTGCCTTGGGATCCTGTTGATCTGTGACCTTACCCCCAACCCTGTGCTCTCTGAAACACGTGCTGTGTCCACTCAGGGTTAAATGGATTAAGGGCGGTGCAAGATGTGCTTTGTTAAACAGACGCTTGAAGGCAGCATGCTCCTTAAGAGTCATCACCACTCCCTAATCTCAAGTACCCAGGGACACAAACACTGCGGAAGGCCGCAGGGTCCTCTGCCTAGGAAAAGCAGAGACCTTTGTTCACTTGTTTATCTGCTGACCTTCCCTCCACTATTGTCCTGTGACCCTGCCAAATCCCCCTCTGCGAGAAACATCCAAGAATGATCAATAAAAAAATAAATAATTAAAAAAAAATAGAATTTGAATTAGTAACTAAAATGTCCTGAGTTTCAATTTGTGGACAAAATCTTTTAAAAGCTTTAAACACTTTGTTGGTCATATGATTTATATCTTTTACCTAAGTTAGATTCAAGGGCTGTCAAATTTGTGATTTCTGTAAGCCAGGAACTCCCTGACAGCAGGCAAATGGTTTCTGCTTTCTTTCTTTTTTTTTTTCATCCTAGAACTTATTTTTTCTTAAAGACCTCACCAGAATGAGTTCACAGATGTCCTTTAGGAGAAACTGACTGATCAGGAGGTGGATAGCTCCCATCTAGGAACTGAGCAAAAGAAGATAGGAATAAGCCATTATAACAATGTCTCCTGGTCCACTCCTTGACTGGGCGTCAGTTAGCATGTGACCTTTCCTCCCTCAGGTGAAGTGAGTACTGAGGAGAAGATAAGTCTCCTCACATTCCATTTCCGGATATGTGTTCCTCCTGTCACCCACCACTCACACTCTCTCACCTTTTTGACTTGACACAAACTCCTATCTGGCGGGTGTAATTTACTCCTAAAGAGTTGAGAGGCATGAGACTGGCAAAAAGTAAACAGTCTGATAAGTTCAAGAGTTGGCAAGGATACGTGGAAACAGATTTAGCCATAGATATACCTCTGTAGCATGACTTTGGGTGGTCATAGCTAGAGATAGTCCAACAAGGCCAATTGCAGCAGTTCTACTTCTTGGAATATACCCTAGACAAAGAGGATACACATTTCATAAAAAAGTATGTATAAAGATGTTTTTAGAGGCTCATAAAAGATAAAACAGTTTTTAAGTGTTTTATCTCCACCACCTATCTCTCCTTCTAAACCAGCACTCAGGTTTCCTTCAGTTATTATTTCACACAGTGTACAGGCTTGTTGAGTTTGTTGGTTAGGAAGCCTAGTCCTTCAATGAGAATGCTGACTGGGTTCCTATGAGTTTCTGGAAAATCAAATTCCCATAGGTTCTTCTTTTCATTATGCTTGTCTGGTCAAGGATGAAGCAATCTTAGGTTAAATAACAGAATATAAGGGACTGGGCTGATACAGCTATGAATCTAATTTTTAGAAACACCCAAAATATCCTTGCTGCACCCTCCAAATAAACATTATCAGGAGATTAACAACAGGGTTTTTTACTTGGAGATATTGATGACTAATATCAAGCTTATTGAAGGAAAAAAATGAATTCATGTGATCACATTACTGAAAATGCATACATAATAGCTGGACTCAAGAGTTCAAATTATGTGTTTAAGAAATAGAGAAATATATCTCTATGCATTATATCTCTCTCTCTTCTTTATCCCCTGCTTTCCTTTGTGACATCTTCATTCTCTGGCAGGTTCTTTCCTCTTAATGGGAAAGGCAGTGATCCTTCCATGTCTACATGACAACGAAGAGCTTGGGATCTCAGAAGAGCAGAGGTACTGCCTCTCCTGGTATCTAAAACTAACTCCCAAAAGAGGGCTCTGATTGCCTCCTTTAGGAGACAGGCTCTTTGACTGACTGCATTTCCTCCTTCATTATGTTGCATCAGAGAGGAGCCATTCCCAAAACTGAAGGAATGCCGGAAAGATACATGAGTAAAATGTCTTTGACAATGACTGACATTCAGGCTGGAGTTTGAATTACATTCTAATTCCTTCCACAAGTTTGGATTAAATCCACAAGTTTAGATTAAAAACACACAAAGAAACACATTAAAAAAAACATGAGAAAGAGTGCACCCACTACTAACTAAAATTTTATACTACAGTGATAGCAGGAGTAAAGCAGGATTCTAGGAAACATGAGGATTCACAGAAGCAAACAAAACCAGGTAATTCCTATGTTTCAAGCCCTGTGTGTTTAATCTTTACAAACAACCCTTTGACATTCATTTTACATAAAAAGAAAACAGCCCCAGAAAATAGGTTTATGGTTCACAATCCTCGTTTCTTTGCTTGTTTTCTCCCTTGACCCAAATATAAAGGATAGCAAGCATACCATCAGTCACTGAATATCTAGCAATAACTCTTAATGCTGTGTGTGTGTGTGTGTGTGTGTGTGTGTGTGTGCCTGTGTGCCTGTGTGCGTGCATATGTATGTGTGTGAGTTTGAATCGGGAGAGTTAGATTAAGCTTTTGTCATTTAACAAATCACCTGAAAGTCAACAGCTTAATGACAATGATTAACTTGATTCATGATTCTGTGGGTTGACTGTGATCCATTAGCTAGGGGTTGGGTTATCTGGATGTCTCACAGTTGCTGTGGACTGTTACATGGGAATCTCAATTCTTCACATGGCCTCTCATTCTTTTTAAGACTTCTCTGCGTGCTGGTCACAGGGCAGTGCCTTTCTTGTGTGCTGTTCACAGCGCAGTGCCCAAGACTGGGAAGGTAAAAGCTGTGAATCCTCATAGGACTTAGCTTTGGAAGTCTCCTAACACATCAGCCAAAATCCACTCGTCAAACAAGTCATGAGTCCAGCTAGTTTCAAAGTTTAGCAAGTGGACTCTACCCCTTTATAAAAGAATTAGCAAAGGTACATTGAAGATGGGGGTGCAACTAAGATGGGAAGAAAATATGCTCATAGTTTTCAATCTATCATACATCCCAAGGGTGGCTGTATCAGCATTCAAGGTTCAGGCAAAAAGTGCTTTGAAAACACCCTCCTCATTTATGCCTATCATGTCTTAGATGTCTCCTAGATCTTTAAACCTATATATTTCTGAGATAAATGTCACGTTCTAGCCATCGTACAACACTGATATTCAGTTAGTGACCATCAATGAGCCACCCAGTGGTCAGCCATTATGTAAATTATATTTGCAGAAACTCAGTTTTTAGCTTAACAATAAATGTATGTATCCATCTTATTTTAGACTCTTGGCACATCAATTAGCCTTGAGATTGAAAGAGTAAACACAAACATAATTTATCACTTTGTCAAGTTCAACAAACACCACGTTGTTTTGCTCAGAACCCCTAATGTAGACTCATGAATTTACAAATCTGACAATTATTTATTAAGGCTATTTGCTAGCCCAGCTGGCTTTGTTTTACCTAGAGATGTTAAAGTGAGTAAGACAGGAATCTTTTTATTCTTGTTAATCTCACAGTCTGCCTGCTCCCTCTCCTCCCCTGACTTTTTGTGCCTTGGATGGGATTCAGTCTCCTGTTCCTTAGACACGTTCCTTCATATGATAAGGAAGATGGACAAACAAGGCTGCAAGAGTAGTGCCTATGACTCCAGCAGAGAAGTCCCAAGGAAGAGCATTGGTTGGTCTTTCTTGGGTCACATGTCCAGCATCACACCAGTTACCACATGCAGGGGTTTGCACTTTCTTGGCAGGCTTGTCCTGAGTCACTTACAAAACCCTAATTTCCAGGAAGTGAATCCTTTGATTGATAGATCCAAAATAATAGAACTGATTAGTGAAAGAGACACATACAAAAATCCAATAACTACCACAGGAGGTATATTTATTTAAGTATTTTATAGATAAGAAAACTAAAGTTTAAAGCAATTCAGTAACTTATGGAAAGTCATCCATATAAGTGACAGAGCAAAATTTGACTTGAGGCCTGATTATATTTACAACCTTTTGGAAGGTCTAGCATTAATGTACTGTGTGTTGAATTCAGGACAACCTAAGAATAGTAAAGGTGTTCCAAACTCTTCTCACCAACTCCACGAATGAAACATATAAGGAGAATTTGAGT
Source organism: Homo sapiens (assembly GCF_000001405.40). NCBI lineage: Eukaryota > Metazoa > Chordata > Mammalia > Primates > Hominidae > Homo > Homo sapiens. The sequence continues at coordinate 107,805,272 of NC_000010.11, forward strand.
GGAATGAGAAATCTTATAAGGATTTGAAGAAGGATATAGGATTGGCTGAGTGGAAAGGAGAGGGAGATGCTATTTTTCTTAGTCAATTTTAACCACAACAACAACAAAACATTTTGTTCAGAGCTTTACTTCCAGTTGAAATGTTATGGAATTTAGGCTTAAAGACAAGTGAGTTGACGTTTCCTCCAGTTGAACTAATACAAGGCTAAGAGCTAATGAGAAGCAGGTTTCAGTTCAGGATCACCTGTCTCATCTAGAAAGTAAAAACACTAACGCCTGCTGTCCTACTTTCCAGAGACTTGGGAGATTCAAACTGGTGAAGGTATTTCAGTGTACTGAAAATCTAAAAACACAATTCAAATGGAGGATGGTATTATCATAATATGTGCTTCCTTCCATGCATGATATGTGCCATTGTTTACTAATACCATTTCTAAAATCAGAGAGAACTATTCTTATCACCATAGTAGTTATATAACTTGATAACAGAAGAGGTGAATTTTGAACCAACAAATTTACCTATTGATTTCTATTCTGTTCCCATTATTTTCATTTTTTTTATTCTGCTGAGCAAATTCTGTCTTAACTAGTCCTATAGAACAGAATTCCTATAGATTAAATGCTGCACCCAATGAAAGGCTTTGCTTTAATCAAAATTAAATCTATTTTTAAAAATATTTATTACTCTTCAATAAACAAGGACATCCTATTGGCCTTCTCCATGTGAGTTCTTAATTTGTATTCCTTGGCACCATTGAAGCTTTTTTAGTATTAGCTAAGCAGTCCTTTACACTTTTCCTTGTAAAAAATCTCTCTTTCTCCCAAACATCTCCAATCAACTTCAGAGGTCTCTCCCTGTGTAATCCTAGATAAGCACAGGGCATTGATTTATACTGTGTCTTCATCCTCTGCCATGGAGAAACAAAACAAAATGCTACATCCTGTGAATAATTAACTTAGAAAACAAAACCAAAATGCAGCAGGATAAAGCAATGGAATTCTTGCTTCATCTTATTCATCTTGACAGTTGCAGGAATCCAGGTCTAATTGTGCTGCTATTTAAGCTGAAGGCAGAAGCTGGCACAAAAGAAAAGACATATTATTGTCAAAGCAACCCCCGCTGCAGCTGAAAGACTATTAAATTTAGAAGGGCAGCAAGTTATCTTTATTTTGGCAAATTAGTGATGGGGATTCCGAGTGATTTTGCTATATGTTGCATTACCACTGAATAAATAAATAACCCTCTCACAGCTACCACACCAGGACCCAATGTTCCCATTAATGTCCCCTTGAGTGCATGCTCCAGGTTGACCTTTGGTCTCAGGTGAGTGCTCCCTCTGAGCAGAGCCAATGGTTCTGTGGAGCTCAAGATGTAGGAAATGAAGGGGGAAGGTTGTCCTTTTCCTTTCACTCAGTTTCTTTTCTGGGCAGAAATTTGGGATAAAAAATAATTAGAAGTATTCTAAGAAGGTGAGATAGAAAAATATAGGAAATAAAAACAAAAGAGTCTAAGTAGTAAATGAAAAGATAGAGTTTGAAGAATACCGCTTAAGACCTATGAAGCAACGACCAACACACTAAAGACAGAAATTATTAAAATCAAAAGCCAGAAATTATTAAAATAAAAGCTTCCAGGGAGATGGTCTTCAGGCAAGGAACAATGAGGTAAAACATTGGCACTTTTCATTAAAATTTAACTGAATTTTTTAACCATGCCATGTATTACTTTGATACATGTAATTCATAAAGATACTATAAAATAAGGCTATAATTTAAATAATTGTATATAGAATGTGGATAAAGTTCATTAACAATATAGATTTCTACTCATTTTCTAACTGGGACTCTGTAATATTAGTTTGGTGCAAAAGTAATTGCAGTTTTTGCAATTGAAAGTAATGGTAAAAAAACCACAATTAGTTTTATAATAATAAAATACTATTATTTTATAATAATACAAGTATATTTTATAATATAATGTAATATAATAAAGAGAGATCAATGTTTATTTTAGCAATAATAAGGGGAGGTCAATGTTTATTGCTCCATTTGTCCCATGGAAAAAATGAGATTCAAAAATATTAGGCATTCTCCCAAGATCACTCAGAAGTCAGGAGCTTGGGAATAGGGAGAGAACGCAGGTCCTTGACTCTGATGGTATTGTTCTTTCCATCCTTTCTTCACCGGATAAAAGGACTGTTCTCAAGGTACCACTCATAGGAGCTAAGCAATTTTAAGGAAAGTGACAGAAATGAAGGAAACTGGCAGAAAGAGAAAGCCATCTTACCCAGAGAGATACTGACCTATGATTAGGAATAGTTTGAAAATACAATCTGATTCAAAATAATTTAAAATAATGTGTAAATATGCCATTGAGTCATACAGGTTAAGAGACATTAGATTTCAGTGCGACACAGCCCTAACAACCCTGTATGGGTGACAAATGTGCCATTCCATTCATCATCTCCAACAGTAAGAGAACACTGGAACTAGTGAACTGTTGTCAGATGGTTAGGTAGTGAACCAGAGTTAGATGCATTGTGGTGATGGTGAGATTTAGGGAGCAACAGAGGCAACAAATATATATGTCTCCGTAAAATGAGGTCAGAGGTAAGGAGTAAGAAGAATGCAGGCTGGTTCATAACTTGTGCAGATAAATAGCAGGGACAGACCCTAGCAGTCACAACCACACTCCTATCATTCATCTCAGCTCTTTTGCTGGAGAAAAGGAGTCATCTATTCCATTCAGGGCTTCCCTGATTGTCTTGGTTTCTGTGAAGTGTAAAGCAGGTTGCAAGGAGCTGTCTGCACTGATGCGTGAATGCTGTTTTCTTGGAGATTAATTCAGAATGTGTTTGTGCATTAGTCTCTCTCTCTCTGTCTCTGTGTGTGTGTGTGTGCGCGTAAATGAGCCTTTTACGGAAAAAGTCAAGGTTTAAGAATTTTGTGCTGTGTGTCTGACCCCTACCTTCCTTCTGTGCATCTCTGCACCAGTCCTGTCCTGGATTTACACAATTCTATGCATGTTATACTTAATTTTTTTTACGATGGCTTCTGATGAAAACATGATATAGAAGTAGAGGGTGACCTTGAAGATGCCAAAGTTTGCCACCCTATTGTTTGATACAGTGAAAAATAAGGAAGGTAGGGAGCTCTCTTGGAGCTAAGATTACACAGGAGAAATAAGAAAAAAGCTAATGTCTTTATTATCAATATAGCACACGGACACACACAAACATATCATGTTCCATGTTTGAGTCTCCACTCCCAAGAGAAGTGGTCTGACTCTCCTTTCCTGTGGAGGACTCAGTTAATCACCAGCCTATCAACCCACGTCTGGTATCCATAATCCGTGGTTCTAAATCATAAGAGGGACTGTGAGTGTGTGTGTGCATGTGTGTGTGTGCATGCGTGCGTGCCTGTTTAAAGTAGCATTCCCCTGTAAAACAAGTCATCACCCCTTTGTATTTTGGTAACTACTGTCATTGCTATTCACTTGGAACCAACACTAAAAACTAAAGGCGGCCAGGGAAAAGTTCAGTAGTTTTTAGGGAAAATGTCAGAGGTAATGAACAAAACAAGCAGCTGTGCATTTTCATCAAGAATCTATCTGGAAGAAGGAAACACCACAATTATTCCACACAGACAGCCCCTTCCAGACTAGCAGCACTTTTCTCCCTTCTCCAGGGATGATGTGGAAGACAGAGCTATGCAAAAGCAGTCTGAGATGCACCACATGGGGTGGTGAGAGATGGAGGAGTGGACAGACAGCATGGGCCAAAAGGTAAGAGAGGCAGTTAGAGAGTGCGCGGAGAGACAGACACCAAACGCGCTGCTGTAGACAAAGACAAATGCAGACCAAAGCCTAGGAATGCAGGGAGCCCAAGTTAGGACAGCTTCAGCTCGCTCAGTCATCTTTGTAACACCTTCCTGGTTTTGGCAATATCCACAGTCCGTCAGTATTATTATTATTGTCTTATAACATTTTCTCTAAATCAAATCCTTTAAAATATTTTATGTGTTGTATTATAACCACCTATGATAAGCCAGTATCACTTTTACATTTCAAAAGATCAAGATAACAACATTACAAATCGTATGATTGGTTTCTAAGTGTTGCTGCCCATGGGGGATGGGGAGATGTGAGCCTGAAGTTTCTTCTTTATGCTGAAAAGAAGAAAGAAAAGAAAGGGGGTTGCTGGGTGCAGTGGCTCACGCCTGTAATCCCAGAACTTTGGGAGGCCAAGGCGGGTAGATCGCCTGAGTTCGGGAGTTTGAGACCACCCTGGGCAATATGGCGAAGCCCCATCTCTACATAAACAATTAGCCAGGTGTGATAGCTCATGCCTATAATCCTAACTACTCGGGAGGCTGAGGCACGAGAATCACTTAGGCCCTGGAGGCGGAGGTTGCAGTGAGCTGAGATGGCACTGAGCGACAGAGCAAGACTCTGTCTCAAAAAAATAAAAGTGGGGGTGGGGGTAAGATAAAGGGAAGAAAAAAATAAAAGAGTTTAGCAAGTGTTACAAGAGCATGGAAGAAGGATAACAAAAATGAGACTTTGATCTAATCCACAGGAATTTTAAAAGTAGCAATAATCAGAAAGTCAGTCAAAACGTGTGTGTGTGTGTGTGTGTGTGTGTGTGTGAGATATAGCGCTGTGTTACATGGTGGTGATGTTGTGGCTCTGTTCCACCTAAAACCACTTTAAACTCCACCTTAAATCGTCTGCAAGATGCTTGCAACAAACTCTGAAAATCACCTATGCAGTGGTTAAGTGCATAGATGGGCCCCAAACATAAAGCCAAACTTAATATTGGTTCATTCACTCTGTAAACATGTGTTAAGCATCTGCTGTGTCTGTCAGGTACTGTTCAAGGTGCTAGGGATATAATTGTGAAAGAATAAAAGAAACTTCCTCCATGGGTCCTTTCATATTGTGATAAAATATATCTTTAAAAATTACCACTTTAACCATTTTAAGTGTGTAATTTAGTGGCATTAAATAAACTCACAGTTTTGTGTAACCACAACTATGATTTATTTCCAGAATGTTATCATCATCCTAAGCAGAAACTCTGAACCCATTAAACAACTCCCCTTCCTCTCTCATCTTCTCTTAACCTCTATTCTACTTTCAGTCTCTATGAATTTGCCTATTTTAGGTACCTCATATAAGTGAAATTATATGATATTTGTCCTTCTGTGTCTGATTTATTTCATTTAGCATTTTTTTAAGTTGTATCCATGTTGTCACATGTGTCAGCGTTTTGTCTCTTTATGGTTGAATGATATTATATTGTATGTGTATAGCATACTTTGTTTATTCGTTCATCTGCTGATGGACACCGAGTTCTTTCCACCTTTTGGCTATTTTGCATAATGCTACTATGATCATTGGCATACATGCTTCTGCTTGAATCTATGTTTTTCATTGATTTGGGGATATAACTACTTCTTTCATGGATCTTACAGTTTAACAGGAAATGCAATCAGATAAATGGCAATTTGTGAATACTCTGCTACCAAGACACATACTCCATGGTATAGGAGCAGAAAATAGCCAGAAAAAAACAAAACAAAAGAAAAACCTGTGTGGAGGGAATTTTAGCAAGAAAAAAAGGAATGGCACAGGTGAGGATTCTAAACTAAGAAGATGTACAGCCCATTAGGAAACAAAGAGAAAATCAGGAATATTTAGAATGAGTGGTAGCATAGGAAAAAATAAGATTATAAGGGAGGCAAAAACTGATTGTACAGGGACTTACAGATCATATAAAATTTCACGTCTTCCAAATACCCACACATCATCCACTGCTTCCAGACATTCAGTTTTATAAGGTCACATGTCTCATTCTTAGAAATGCTTTTTCTGATCACCTATCTAAACCAATGTGATCACCATTTGTTTCTAGTCTTTATCTTGTTTCATTTCTCTCCATAGCTTTTGGAGTCCATAGTGTGTGTGTGTGGGTGTGTTTGTGTGGATGTGTGTGTGTTCATCTCCCCCTTCGAATAAAAGCTCCATGAGGCAGGGACATCACTGCTGCACCCCAGGATCAAGAACAGCTGCACACAAAAAGTCAGCTATAAGTATTGATGACATTAATGAATGAATGAACCAATAAGTGACTAAGCTGGCCCTTTCATTTACTAGCTTTATGATGTTGAGTAACTTATTACCTTTTCTAAATTCAAGTACCTCTTCTGTACAGTTTTGTGAATGAAATAAATGCCATAGTACAGGGCCTGTAATATGTTTACTGAGTGCCCAGTAAATATTAGTTCATAGAATTTAGAGAGAGGGAGACAGGTGGCAAAAGAGGGAGGGGGATAGAGAAAATAAAGCAAAACAAAGCTACCCATCCAATATTTCCATTTTGGTGAGTGGCCCTCCCTCGTTTTAGACTCACTGTCACAAACAGGAAGCCAAACAAAACAAAATCAACAAAAGCAAATTTTAAACTTTTGATTCTCCTTCCAGGAAAACAATAAAATCAAGAGAATGAAGCCGATACTGAAAAATTATAATTTAGACTTTTATTTTATAGAATTAAGTATCCATCAGTCTGTTTATGAATTTTGCTTTACCACGCTGATCTACCAACTTCTATACAGACTCGGTTATATGAGAGCATGGGTCTGTGTTTGTGTGTGCTCTGTAGTCAAAGACGTATGTTCACTGAGACATGAAATATATATGATACATGTGGAACAACTATAAACAACATGGGCGAAGTGTGTTTTTTAGCCATTCTCTGGATCCCTCACAGTTCTTCTAGAGAGTAGAATCATCAGGGAAATCAGAAAACTGAAAGGTATTTTTTATTCCCCAAACAAAACAAAATAAAACTTCACTCCTGACTCTTGGTGGTTGAAAGCAAATGTATAGACAATACTGATGCTTGTTCCTAATTTAATAAAAAACGAAAATCCATAATACAGCACTAGTCAACATGGAGCCCGAGTGTGAAAGCTAATCTCATCATGAGGTGTTAAAACACATGGGAAAGTGGGAATAATGGATAAGGCGTTTTAACTGTAAATTTCAGCTTGGCAGTGATAGGCGATAATGTTCACCCACAAGGAAAGGCTTTCATTTCATCCCTGTTTTGTGGAGCTGGTGTTAATTCTGAGGGAGGTTGCAAAGACTGACTTATTTTGCCAACTTCATAACTGCTCTTGGATCTGAGGAGCAGAGGCTCAAGGCTCCTTGTAGAGTCACGTGTTGATTTTCTAATTTATTCATAAGTTATATATTTCTGTTTATAAAAAGAATTTGCAATGGCTTAAAGCATGCCTTTACTTCTATACCTACCAGGGCTTTGTTTTATCATTCTTCTGGCTTTGGGAAAAGAGAGCTGTTTCTGTTGGATTGCAGGGGAGGAAAAAAAAGGTCTGAATGTGGGTGTGGTGAGGGGAAGGGGGAAAGGATTGTCAGTTAATACATCAAGATGGAAAATGAAAACCCATTTACTTTGAGTATTTTATTTATATCCCATTTAAAACTTCCATTACAGTGCACAACACTTACATGTGTGCTATGATCACATGGGAATCTTGTTCAAAAAGCAGCTTCCTAGGCCCCAACTCCAGACCTTCTTTTTCAATGAGTCTTCTATCAGGTCCAGGAATCTAAATATTTAATAAGCAACCGAGGCAAGTTTGCTGGGTTAGAAAACGTACTTTGAGAAATGACACAGTGATCACTCTCTCTGATTTATTAATATTCTGTGCATGACTTGCTGATCAATTCCTATTCCTCTCTTCCAGTGACCTGACTCCCGTTTCTACCCTCCTAAACCCATTTTTAGTTCATTCGGGGAAGTTAAACTGGTAACTAGTAGAAAAGTCTCCCTGTAAGACTACAATCACCTTCCCTGGTTCTGCTTGTAATTAAGAGATAGTGGTAGAAGTAACAGACGTAGACTTTGAGAAACATTACAATCTTGTTTAATCATCCCAATGATTTGAGAAGCTCCATATTACAACCTATTACAGGTTCCCCTTAATGGTTGAAGGAGCTAATGTATAGAGAAGCGAAGGGACCGGGCCAGTGTTATAGACAGGAGTAGAAGAGGTAGGAAGAGTACAGTGTGTGGGTACCGTTACATATGGTGTTTCTTAAGAAATCAGTGATCATTAGGAAGCTGACTGTGTTAAATCACATGCCCTTGGGGGAAAAACAACAAAAGAAAAAAAAAAGTTAAGTCTTGTCACCACCGTCAAAATAGGAAAGCCATTTCAATCTAAAGCATGAACAATCAAAGTGAAAACATAAGCGTCTGATTTCTCTTTTATCCGGTCAAGTTATGTGGGAGGGGTGTGTATGTGTAAGAGACTACAAGAAAAGGAGATTAAAGACTTTTCCCTGCAGAGAACAAGCTGAGTCAGTGCCGATCAAAGGCTGACATCAAACATACGGCCTCAATAATTGAACCTGCTGTCTGTAAACTCTCATTAGCAAGCAGGAAAGATGATTATTAATTTCTCAGGTAACATATTAACTTTGCCTCATCCTAATTTCTAGGCCTCAGTCACTTTCTACCATGTCATTTTGCTGCTTTTCAAAATCAATTTGCAATTTAATGGTGTGTGTGTGTGTGTGTGTGTGTTTTCATATAATAAAACTCCAGGAAAGGAGATCCATGTCTTCTCCATGAAAAGAACAAGTGGGGCGGGTGTTAATCAAAGGCTGATATCAAACATATGGCCTCAGTAATAAAAACTGCGTTCTGTAAACCTCTTTTCAAGAGGAAGAAGCTTCATTGTGAGTTTCTCAGGCCATGTGTGTTACCCCCATGTCGTTCTAATTTCTAAGCCTCAACATATTCTTTCTTTGCCATCTCAAATTCAATTTGCAATTTAATGTCATGGGGTCTATCAAGTGGTGAGGTCTTCCATGTCCTCAGTCACATAGAAAAACAGAACATTTTGTGCTGGAACCTTGCCCATAAAATACAAATGACATTAAGTCATCAGAATGAAAGAAAATCACATTTCATAAATTTAAGTTTAATCTATATGTAAATTTAGCCAACATTCTTTAGGGTAATAATTCATAAGTATTGATGTTTACACTGCTTGGCAATTTTTTTATTAGTTTAAGTAATGATCTAGATACAAACCACATTCTTTTATTTTACAAAAACAGGCGTTTGGTTGTCTGAAGAGATACAGAAGAGAGACCAATCACTTACTTTCAGACAGACAAAACCACCGAATCCTTTCCTGCGCCATCGAAGAGCTTTGATACCAAAGAGAAAGCTACCAATTTTCGCTAATTTATAATACGTATTTACTCAGAAAAATTTAAGATTCCTCCTAATTCACACTTTTAGTAATTATTCTACTTTAAATAAAAAATAAACAATAACAACCAGAAACAACGAAAAATTGGGATTGTTCAGATAGTTATATTCCAAGAACCAAACAAAATATCTTTTTATTCATTGTATCATAAGAGTCTAGCATATTGATTGTGATGGAGTGACCCTTGCCATCAATAGGTTTTGGATAAATATTGCCTTAGACAGAAGTCTCATGTTTAAAAGCACCTATCAGAGTAACACCAACTGCCATTACAAGTAATTTCCAATATTTCCCTAACATATTAGAAGCTTTTTTTCCTCATTTGTGTGACAGCAGACTATCCTACCATCAGCAAGTCCATGCCCTCAATTCCTTTCATCTTATGGCTACGGCTCCCCCTAGTGCTCATTGTCCTCTGCTTCCATGAGCCAAAGGGGAAAAACAGGGTGGAAAGGACACCACTGCTTCTTAGAAGCCTTGGCCCAGAAGTGATAAACATCGCTTCCTTTCATGTCCATTGCTGAGTGCTAGGCATGTGCTCACACCCCATACCCAGTGTGCTTTCTGGCTGGCCACCTGCTTCCCAGAAAAGTAACATCTTAAGGAGGACTGCACATTTTCATGAACAACCAGACCTGACACAACAAGAATCACAGGATCTTGTCTAATATATAACCACTTTCAAGCCTGGCAGTGGATCAGCATCACCAGAACCTGGAGAGTTTATTCAGAAATATCGACTTCCTGTCCTACGAACCAAGAGATTGTGATTTAATAGGCGTGGTAGAGTCCAAGATTATCCTGCCCAGAGTCACTGAATGCTAATTAATCATCTATCTCCAGTCTGAACCACCACCAAATCCACATTGAAATGCTCACTTTGCTCTGTAACTCGATGTCAACATCATAATCCTGTTTGCCGTTCATGAATCTGCATTTTAAAAAATTATCTGGAAAACAATCATGGCTACACCAGCCTTTTTTGACTGTTTACTAAGTGCCACTAAGTGTTCCAAAGCCTTTATGTGTGCTAGCTTACTTAGCTTAATTCCTTATGTCCCTGTTTTTGTATTTAAGCTTCAAGAAACCCAACTGAAGTAGGTATTATCATCCCCATTTTCTAGAGAAAGATATAGAGGCACAGAAGCACCACGTTGTGCAAATTTATTCTAGAAAGTGTCAGAGCTGATTCAAACCGAAGCAAGCAAACTCTAGAGCTTTTGTCTTCCTCACTTCACTATAACCAGGTGATTCTGAGGGATGTTAAAGTCTGAGAACTATTGAGTCATGAGAGATATGCAAGTGCTTCTGATACAAGTAGTGTTAAAAAAAACACTTGGAGAAACACAAATAAAATTTTTAAATGTTCTTCATTTTTGCTTTCAAACTCAGTATAGATATCTACTCTGAACTCTAGCTGTACATTCAAATACCTTTTCTATGTCATAATTCAACTCTTCATGGCCTAGAACAAACTCAAACTCCCTGCTAATTTCTCTTCCTCCAGCACTCTCTACTTCAAAAAGGACATAACCTTTCCCACAGGGGAGCAGTCTGAAAACCTGGAAATCATCCTCACATGTCTTTCCTGCATCACCCGTTTTGCTGGCATCATGAGTGATTCCTGACACTCTCACCTGCTAAATCTGTCACTACTCTGCTCTTCTCTTCTGCAGTCCTTGCTATCACCATCTCCCCAGGGCTTTGGCAGCAGCCTGGCATCTTGTCTCCCACTTTTTGTCCCCAAGCCATTCTTCATATTGTGGAAAGAGTGATCTTTTCAAACCATGAGAGATGAAACCCCAGATCCTTAATATTTCCTAGAAAAGTCTGCATGTGCAGCTCTGATTACTACATGGGCCTTAGCTCAGGCCATGGTCCCCAGCCCCCATACTCCAGGCATGTTGATCTTCCTTTAGTTCTAACTCCACTGTTTCTTTGTCTTCAGCTTTTCACGTGGGTCCCTGTGCTTGGAATGCTCCCCTCAGAAGAGCATTGCATAAGTTACTTCAGGACTCTGAGCCTCAGTTCTCATCTATAAAATGGGTATAAAACTTTGGAACAGAATTGTTAAAATCGTGAAAATAAAATGTATATAGTCAATAAATTTTAGTTTTTCTGCATATGTTCAGGGCTTTTTTTCTTATCTTCCAATAATCTTCATATTAAAACATATCAAATGATGTTTCTTTTCACTCTTTTACTAGCAGCAATTTCATGAAATCTCAAGGTTAGATACGTCTCTTAAAGAATTTATGTTATTTCAGAAATTAATTAAAGTCATCACATATCTTGCTGGGGAACGCTTTCCCTGCGGTTTTTAATTACTGTCTAGTTAACAATATCCTTTAGAATGTTGTGTCTTTTACAAATGTAGGTGTTGGATGGCTATAATTTTCAGAATTACTACTTTGGTCTACAACCCATTTAATGAGTTAGTAAAAACAATTAATGGAATTTACATACTTACTTGGGCTCTGACAGGGAGGAAAAAAAGAGAAGATTCCAAATAAATGAGCAAGTAAAAGAGCATTAATTAGCATCTAATTTGTAATTGCAGAGTTCAGTGCTCAATACTTTAGAAATTAATTGAACTCTATGTTGATGTGTAAGGTGAAAGCATACCCAACTTCTTGTTGAGATAAGATTAATATTATCCTCATAAAAAACCCTCAAGAATACTGATTGTTGAAGGAACAAACATATATAACACCAAGGGTTGTCAGCAGTATGAGCCAGCAAGGAGGGATGGTATAGCATTAAATACATACAAAAGATGGAAAGGCAGTGAGGTTCTGAATAAAATGTCCACAGAAATAAGGGTCCAACCAAACATACTGGTTATTGCATTATTATGTTAAGTCTAGGACTAATACAACTTTTGTTACCATGTAAGTCATAATTTATTCAAGAAAATAAATGAATATTTGAAATAGGGATTGAAAAACTTTTGGCATGTAATGGGTAAATTTGGACATCTTAAAAATAATTGGATAATAACTATTTAAACTCCACATTCTGGAGCACAGTGAATTCTTTTGGGGAGAGGTTGGGGTTTTATAATTCTCAGCTGCATGTGCTATGTATAGTTTTAGCCAGTCGATATTATAGTTTAGCACGAGGGGTATCATAGGCAGATGAAGTGACAAAAGGGAAGGATCTTAAGCAGCAGGAGAGGGCCTCAGCTGTCTTCTATGCAAACCTGTGTCCATCGCAGCTCTGCCTCTTGCTGTACAAATTTGGAAGGAAATTCAACCTTGCTCAGCCTCAGTTTCCTCATTCATAAATTGGAGATGTTATTACCTGACTTACAGTATGGCTGTGAGGTTTATCAAGGCAATTATGCAATGTGGCAGAAGCGGGATTCAAACTTCAGCAATTTGAATCCAGAATCCACACTTTTAGTGAGGTTAAGCTAAACTCATCCTTATTCTGCTCCTGTGTGATTCTGATGCACAAAATGTGGCTTCAGCACATAGTGAGTGCTCAACTAATTGTAGTTATCAGCATACAAAATAAATATCTATTTGCATTTTTTTAATATTTGGTCAAAGTCAGTTGAGATGGTAAATGACAGACTTTGGCCTAACAAAGCTTACATGGGGGCCATGGGGGCTAAAGTCAGCCTGGGGGCCAGGTGGGGAGCAGGTGAAGTTGTAGGGGAGGCAGGCATGGATTCCAGGTGGGGTAACATACCTGGGCTGTGGGCTTTTGTCTGTTAGCTGTTGCATCTTTCACCAGCAATGGGCAGCCTTTCAAGCTAGCACTTGTATGGGGGGAGTTACTGCCTCTCAGCACTGCCAGACGTGTCCCGCCTCCTGCGATGGAGGCAACTCTCCCTATCATGTAAATCTTGAAAAGAAAGTATGTTTTAAAAACTTACTTTCTATATCTGTAGTCCCAGCTACTCGGGAGGCTGAGGCAGGAGAATAACGTGAACCCGGGAGGTGGAGTTTGCAGTGAGCCGAGATGGTGCCACTGCACTCCAGCCTGGGCTACAGAGCCAGACTCCATCCCAACAAAACAAAACAAAACAAAACAAAAACAAACAAACAAAAACAAAAAAAAAACTTACTTTCCTCCTGACGTAAGTGTGAACAAGCTTGTGCCTAAAGAAAGTTTTGGTAAAACAATATGTATATCTAATTTTAAATGCATTAAAGAGATCACTACTGCAAAAATTCCTCTAATAAAACTTTTATAACACAATTTATTGATTATTATAGAATATGTAGGAACTCTTCGGGGGAAGAATAATTGAAAAGATCTGCCTAGTTTAAAAAGTTGTTTCTTTTTGTCTATACAATAATCATTTCTTAGCACCTACTCTGTGCCAGGCCCAGAAGATGTAAGAATGACCGTGTCAGACCCTCTCACTGCCACAGAGAAGCCATCTGTGGAGCAGACAGATGGGGCTGGGGACGAGTAGGTGTCCTGAAATGTATTAGGTGATGAGGCTGAAGCCTGCACAGAAGGTTTTAGGGCACTGGGGGCAAAATAGAAAAGACAAGTGCTCAACTGCATTCAGATGAAGGAGAATCAGAAGCAATTTTACCTTAGAGTGATGATTGCTCGGAACTTTGAAGAGGATGTATTTTCTGGGGCAGCAGGAAAGGAGCAGGATTTCAGGCTAAAGACACTACACAGGGCAGCAGGTCATCAAATAACCTGGAAGCTCCTTATCCATTCTAACCCTCAGTTCCCCACTTAGCAAATGAAAAAATACAGCACAGCGGCCAAGAATGAGTTCTATTGCTCGTGTCTGATAGAAATGCTCTACCACCTACTAGCTGGGTGAGCTTGCACACGTTAATCCTCTAAGCTTCAGTGTCTACATCCGTATTTACAAATCCCACTGGCTTTTCCTTCCTATCTTTATCTTTCTCTTTCCAATCTTTTCCTTTCTCTTCCTCTGAAGATTTGGCGGCAATGTGGACTAAGGAAATGAAGGGAATTGCAGAGGCAATAGTGTCAAGGTGGGGTCTTGAGAAGGCTGCAGAAGTGAATAGATGAATAATCAGGGTCCTCAGAATGAATAGGCAAAAATAGTGTGCCCAGAAGCCGAGGTCAACTGGAATTACAGCATAGCCAGAAATGTGTTGAGGGTGGACGGGGTTGCGGGGGGGTGAGGGGGTGGGGGAGAGAGAGAGAGAGAGAGATTAAAGAGTATAGGTTGTGGGCAAACACTGGCAAATGAACAATTGACAATTCTGGATCAAGGAGATACATGACATGTTTATACTCTTCTTGTAACTTCTTTATAAGTTTAAATTTACTTCAGAATGACATTTGAATAATATGAAGAGTGTTCCTTCAAGTTTTCCATAAGTATAAAATTATTTTACATAATTTTTGAAAATCGCACCTTGCCCCTGAAGTACCTTCATTCCTATTCAAATTCCTTCTACAGCACTGTATAATGCTTTAATTTCTCTTTAAGTTTCTGTTTTCTCCCACCAGAATGTAAGTTTTTGAGGCTGGGGATATTTTTTTCAATTTTCTTGGCAGCCATGCTGTATACCCTACGATTTGAACAAAGCTTTGCAATAACCGGCATTTACAAAAGGCTTCTAATGAACGAATGATTGAATGAATAAATGGATAAATAAGTCTATGATAGGGTGATAATTAGGAGCTGAGCATATGTGTACACTATTTACACATGTGACACACTTAGCATGTTAAATGCTCAATAAATGTTTTGTAATAAATAATATAAATAGATATTAAAAGCTCAATAAATACTTAGTAAAATGTTTTCACTAAGTAAACTATGGCTATAGTTTCTGTTGGGCAGTAGTAACAGATTAGGCTGAGGTCAGGCCACACGAAGAAAGAACTCATGGGTCATAACAAGAAACTTACACTTTATTCCATAACCAGTGGGAAGTGACTTAGCCAGATTTATTTCCTTAAGTTTCCCCAAACTGTGTCCCTCAAAATTTATATGTTGGAGTCCTACTCCCAGTATCTCAGAATATGGCCTTATTTGGAGATAGGGTCTTTACAGAGGTATCTAGTTAAAAGAGGGGGCCCTAATCCAACATGACTGGTCTCTTTATAAAGACGGGATATTTGGAGACAGGCTCACCTGCAGGAAGAATGCCATGTGAGTAGGAAGACAGCCATCTATAGGCCAAGGAGACAGGCCTGGAACAGATTCTTCGCTCACAGCCCTCAGAAGGAACAACGTCACCAAAACCTGTATTTCAGACTCTTGCCTCCAAAACTGTCAGACTACATGTTTCTGTGATTAAACTACCCACTTCTTGGCACTTTCTCTTGGTAACTCTAGGAAAGTAATACAATCCCTCTGCCAGTCATTTGGCGATAAGAGGAGGGATGATTAAAGCAGGACAAGTCACTTAACCCACCTGATCTCTCGTTTTCTCATGTGTAAAATGGAGATAAAATCTATTCAGCATATCTCATGATCTCACATGAAAGGGAAAATGTCAAAATGTATAAGGTAGAATGGTGATAAACATAAAGGAATATGAAAATTCAGGCACAAAAGGCATAATAAGGTAAATACATAGGAGTTCTTTTAGATTTAGGAAAGCTTCTTTGAATATTCATCACAAGTAAGCCTTTCTGATCCAAAGGATACTGTTGTCAATAACAAATTCTCACCCTGTTTCTAAAGAGAATTTTCCTTCTGGGTGTCATTTCCAGTTGCTAATGGACCCATTGATGGAGTGTGATGTGAGCAAAGAATGTTAGCTCCATGGTCAGAATGGCATTCATCTTCCACAGAAACAATGAAATGAAAAAAAAAGTCTATCTTGGAAAATAACTGGCAGTGAAAGTGGGGACTGGTCATCTTACAGAAACTGAACACAAGTGATTGAAAGGTCAATGGATAAAAGAAACTGCCCAGGAGATAGATGGTTTCCTGGAGCACACCCTACTGGTAACAGCCCTAGACCCAGTGAACTTTGCTGTTCGTGGAAATGAATGAACATGGCACTTAGAGCCTAAGGTAGCTCTAACAGACTAGTGCTTTAATCTCCATTTCTAAAATTAAAGTAATGGATAACTGCCCCTTTCCCAAATCTATTAACACCTTACAATTAAGTCTTTAATGGAGGTTCAATAGCCAAATAATTTGTCTTTAAGGAAAATAAATTGTTGACAGTTCCCTTTAGGTTGTGTGTTGTTAGCTTTCACCTAAATTACCACCTTGCAGAAAGGGTAGGTCAGTTGGAAGTTTTTAAAGGGGTTGTGCTTTACCAAGTTGTTCTGAGTCAAAGAAAAAAAAAATCACGGAATACTACTTTGTCTTGTCGTAGTTGACTATTTTTAGTGAAAACACTGTAAGGGAGAAATAATCATAATGTCCAAATCACAGGCTACTTACGTGGAATAAATAAGGGTATGCAACAAGCAATTCTTAGCACAGTGCTCCGCACAGCATAAGTGCTCAAAAAGTAATAGTCAATAATAAACAATGATAAATGGAACACAAAGATTTATTCAATAGATATTTTATTAGCATCTAAAGTCTGTAAGGCACGATGATTAGCATGGTCAGAAAGAATAAATCTCTGCCTTCGAAAAGCATGCACTAGTTTCCTGATTTTAGGAAGCAGGGTTTAGAAGTTCATACCTGTCCATGTTTAAGCGCTTGCTTACTAACCCAATGTATGCCATCTTTTTTCTTATGCGCATTTCAGTGGTCCAGTCATTTGTAATTAAAATAGCCCAGACTAACAAAAGGCATACGCTGGCCTTACTACCAAGGGGATCATCAGCAGCAAGACAGATGGCATTGAATTGGAGGAAGGTCAGAAAATGCATCCTGGAGGAGGTGGCATTCAAAGGAGGCAGGGCTTTCATAAACAGATTATCAATGAAGAAGTGGTCTAGGCAGAATAAGCAGCATGGAGGAAGCCATGAGACTGACCCATGCCTCCCACAGATGTTTGTATGGCTGACTCTCATCTTACTGGTGTCAGCTGGGATTTCATCTTCTCAAGATAGCCTTCTTTGACCACCCTAATATCCTGAGTTACACTCCACCGTATTTTTTGATTTACAGACTTCATAGCACTAACATCCTCTGAAATTCTCTGTCAGTATGTTTATGATCTGTTTCTACCTTGGTATATGAGCTACATAAGAATACTGTCTTTGTCATCTCGCTCCCTCTCAATCCCCACTGCTCACAAAGTCCACAGCAAACATCTGTTGAAAAGAAGAGGTGGCTAGGTGAAGAAAGGCAGAAAATAAAGCTAGAGTCAGAAGGCAGAGGCTTTACTAACCCAAAATATACTTTCTTGGTATACCAAAAACACAATCCATAAAAGAAATATTTGATAAGCTGGAGTATATTACCATTAAACATTTCTACTCTTCAAAAGACACTATCAAGAGAATGAGAAGATGGGCTGCTGTCTAAAAGAAAATATTTGCAAAATACATCCAGTGAAGGACTAGTACCAAAATATGTAGAATGCTTAAAACTCAAAAACAATGAAATGAACAACCTGATTAAAAAATGAGCAAAATACCTGAATAGTTACTTCACCAAAGGAGACATACACATGGCAAGTAAGCGTATGAAAAGATGCTCCACATCATGTGTCATTAGGGAAATTTAAAGCAATAACAAGATACCATTACTTACCTACTAGAATGGCCCAAATACAGGACACTAACAACACCAAATGATGACAAAGATGTCAAGCAACAGGAGCTCTCACTCCTTGTTAGTGGGAAGCAAAATGGTACAGTCACTTTAAAAAAGAGATTATTTCTTACAAAACTAAACATACTCTTACCATACAGCCTAGCAGTCTTGCTCCTTGATATTTTCCCAAACAAGTTAAAAGCTTATGTCTACACAAAACTCTGCACACAGATGTGCATAGCAGCTTTATTCATAATTGCCAAAACTTGGAAGTAGCCAAGATATCTTTCAGTAGGTGTGTAACTGAGTACCCTCATTTTTCTAAAAGAATGAAAATGAGTAATTTTTTAAATTATGTTTTCTTTTTTTCTCTTTCCTCCTCTTCCCCACTTCCTACTTAACTCTTTAGAAATTCAATTATAACCTTTATCTTCCCTTCACCAGACATTCCTTATAGGGCGAGCTTATCTAACTATTTGCTTACTTAGAAGCTCCAGAGCTGGAACTCTCTCCCACCAGAACATTGCCTCAAGAGACAACAGTCAATGTACAACCTAAAGTATGGTCTCTATGAAACTCTCTCCCACCTCAGAGGGTATCTCAAGACAACAGCCACCTTACAACGCTGTTCTACCCATGAAGGCTCCAGCTTGACCACCCAGTAGATAAGTCATGCAGACCCCCACTCACTTGCCCCTTCCCTGCATGCTGTCCATGCCTCGTTTCCTTTTAAAAGGCCCTGCTTTCTGCCCCAAAGTGGAAGCGGTACCCTAGCTTTAGGATAAAAAATCGTTTTCTTCATCTCACACCTTGCTCTTGTTAATTGGACTCTGTAAGCAGTGAGCAACTGAACATGTGATTTGGTTATATGTGCAGTGAACAATAAATGATTGTACATCCAGACAATGGAATACTATTTGTTGCTATAAGGAAATGAGCAATCAAGCCATGAAAAGACATCGAGGAACGTTAAACGCATATTAGTACAAAGTGAAAGAAGCCAATCTAAAAATGCTACATACTGTATGCTTTCAACTCTATGATATTTGGAAAAAGTCAAAACTATGGACACTGTTAAAAGATATATGGTTGTTAGGGGACAGTAGGAAAGGAGTGATGAAAGGTGTAACATGGAAGATTTTCAGGGAGTGTTAACAAAAAGAGTCAAACTGTAATTTTTCTTAGCCAAATATGAGTGACCATGGTCCGTGACACAGCCCTCAGGAGGTCCTGAGAACTAGTGTCCAAGGTAGTTGAGGTGCAGCTTGGTTTTATACATTTTAGGGAGGCATGAGACATCAATCAAATACATCTAAGAAATACTTTGGTTTGGTTGAGAAAGGCAGGACAACTCAAAGTGGGAGTGTGGGGGTTGGGGGTGCTTCCAGGCTACAGGTAAATTTAAACATTTTCTGACTGACAATTGGTTGAGTTTGTCTAAAGATCTGGGATCAATATATAAAGGAAATGTTCAGGTTAAGATAAAAGACTGTGGAGACCAAGGTTCTTTTGAAGTCTTATAGTAGCTGCACTGAAAGACAATAGATGACAAATGTTTCTAATTTTCAGATCTTTAAAATATGCTAGACTCTTACTTAATCTCTTCAGGATTGAGAAGGCCTGGAAGAAAAAGATCTAGCTATGTTAATGGAGATTCTTTACAGACGCACATTTTTCCCCACAAAGGACAGCTTTGCAGCACTGTTTCAAAATACGGCAAAGAAACATGTTTTGGGGGTAAAATATTTTGATTTTCTTCCTTGTCTCGTTGTAATGTTAGGCGCCAGGGGCAGGTTGGAATGTAAGTCATATATAGGGTTAGATAAAACCCATCTGATGATAATTGATGGTTTGTAGGGCATGACTCCCCAGGCCCCTTGGATAGGAATTTGGGCAAGACGAAACAATCAGAGCTTAGTTAGTCCTCAGGAGGGAAACTATTCTGTATGACAGTGGGTATATACGTGATATGTTTTGGCTCTGTCTTCCCACCTAAATCTCATCTTGAATTGTAATTCAAGTGTCCCCATGTGTCAAGGGAGGAACCTAATGCGGGGTGACTGGATTGTGGGGAAGGTTTCCCCCATGCTGTTCTCGTGATAGTGAGTGAGTCTTAGGAGTGCTGATGGTTTTACAGTGTGGCACTTCCTTCTCTCATTCACTCCCTCCTGCCACCTTGTGAAGACGGTGAGTGCTTCCCCTTTCCTTTGTGCCATGATTGTAAGTTTCCCAAGGCCTCCCCAGGCATGTGGAACTGTGAGTCAGTTAAACTCCTTTCCTTTATAAATTACGGTCTCGGGTATGTCTTTATAGCAGTGCAAGAATGGACTTATATGATATGTCATTATATATTTTTCAAAACTCATAGAAGGTACAATACCAAGAGTGAACTCTAGTATAACTATGGATGATGGTTGATAATGATGTGTCAATGTAGGTTCACTAATTGTAACAGATGTGGCACTCTGGTGAGGATGTGGATAGTGAAGGAGGCTGAGCCTGGGCGTACAGGGTTTATAAAACCTCTATACTTTCTGCCCAATTTTTCTGTGAACCCAAAACTTCTGTAAAATATAAAGCCTATTTAAAAAGGAAAACACATAACACCACCACCTTAGAGGCTTCAGGACTGAGACTTGATTCAGGGAATAATAAGGATCTGGGGGTTTTGAGAGGGGGAGTAGAATTTTCAAGTCTAGAAAAGACATAGCTTTGAGGAGATTTGAGCCTATGCAAGAGGCTGACTGTAGGCCTGGACAGAGGGTGGTGAGAACAGTAAGGTCGTTGCAAACATCTGAACATGGAGATCGAGTTTATCTAATTAAGTGCATGTTCTACGGGAGCCTAAGTCTTTCCTCCTACATGATGTCCATACCAAAGATAACACTGACTGATTTTTTTTTCTCTCAGGACTAGCTGCTCTGTAAAGACTCTTTCTTATTTTTTCAAATACAATTTTTAAAACTAGAAACTACTGTCTTCTACATGAATCTACGATGGCTATTTTCCCCCAGGTAACAGCCTTGTGAAAAGATCTTGTCGAGGGTTGCTTGATCAGACAATGAAAGCATAGCAACTTTCAAAGTTTTACAACAAACTGAAGCTGTCCACATGCTTTCCTACTCCAGGCCTCAAAGTGCCCTGTGCCAGATCTTGGCAGCCTTATCTCCCCTTACACAGACTCATTTCTATTCCAAGTTCCGCTGCGATCATGTTATTCAGTTTTTTGTTTTACATGCTTTTATACTTAGTAAAATTATAACACTGTGTGTATTTCTGTACATTTTTATCCTTTCAAGGTTTTCAAGATTTAGCTAACTTGATATGTGTTGTATCATATTTATTTTTCCCTATTATTATTTTTAATTTTATGAATATATCACAATGTATTTTTTTTTTCTGTTGAGGATCATTTAAGATGTTTTCAACTTTTTCTCCCAATCCTATACAATGATATCATGGACATTCAAGTTTTCATCCTCTTTTGCACACATGTGAAAATTCCTTCAAGGTACAGAGCTAGTGGTAGACTCGCTGTGTCAAAAGGTATGTAAATAATACAATTTATTAAATATTGTCAATTGTCCTCCAAAGAGAACATCCCTGACTCAAACACTGTGAAATTTACAAATTTGCAATGTCCTTGCCCAGCCCTTAGGAGTCATTTAGCTTTAGATTCCTGTAAGTACGATGCTTATGGAATGATGTCTTCCTAAGGTTTTAATTTACATTTCCCTGACACTATGTCAGATTGAGCAGGCGCTCATGTATTTATTGGCTTTTAAGTTTTGTAAATGGCATTTCCATACATTTGGCCCATTTTTTTCACCGGATTGCTTATTTCTTTCATTTTGATTTGTAGACATTCTCTGTAAATTCTGGATACTTATCTTTTGTCAGTATTTTGCATTGCAAACATCTCCTCAAAGTCTGGTCCTTGTCTTTTTACCTTGTTTATGATATATTTGGATGAACAGATGTTTCTCCATTTAATGAATTCAAACTTATCTACTTTTTCCTTTATGGTTTGTCCTTTCCTGTGTCATTTAAAAAAGAAAATTCTTCCAAACCTAAGCTGTAAATATAATGTCTTACATTGTATCCTAAAGGTTTAAAAGTTTTACTTTGAACAGTGGGTCTTTTGTGCATCAGAATTTAATTTTGTGTCAATCTTTTCCTCTTATGGACCTTTCACTCAAGTATCCTTTTTCATTGCCTTACTCAATCTTAACTTGTTATAAGAAATCTTGATTCCCACTTCCTTTATGAATCCATCATTTAACACTCAAATTCTTGCTGACTTCTTCCTCCCTAGACTGCTAAAATATCTGTTGCTGAATTTGTAATTATTTTATATCTGAATACTGAGAATGTACATAGATCCCTTCAGTGGCCAAACAGATAACTTTCATGAGAGAAACAGGTCAGAATGGACATAATGAATTGCGAATGGTGGAATGGGGTGAACAACAGATACACAAGACCTCCCTAAAGATGAGGCTGCTCCCCAGACCTGGCCAATTATTGCCGGACGAACCACGGAACCAGATTTGCCAGATCTTTTAAATTTTGTTTTTAAACAAAAACCAGGAATTTACACTTTAAAATAAAATCCATTAATTTCTAAAGTTGGCAACAATTTGAAATGGTAATAGGAATAACATGAAGATCTAAGATATATAATCTAACAGTGTTTATTGACCTTTTTTTTCATTATCGCCTCCCTAAGAAACCTTAAACATCTTTTTATCCCAATCATTTACCCTTGGAATTAAATATTAAAAAATAAGATTGTATCAAGAAGGGTTGAAATTTGGAGACAGAGCCACAAATCATTGTACCGACTAACAATTTGTTGCCCTTCCCCAAGAACCAATTCTTGCCTTATTGACAATGTAGGCCTAATGGTTTCTAGTTATTACATAATATGTAATCATCATTTTTCTTCATAATTAAGGCATGAGCTCTTTGGAACAGGTCTCTCACTCTAATCCACATAGAGCCAATCACAGAGCCAAGATTATGATGCATGCTCAAAAACTGTGGAATGACAGGGAAGTTCATAATCACACTCAGATTCTGGGAGAAGAATTTAGAGGAAATTCTACAATGTGATCAATGTGATCTACAATGTGATCATTTATCATTCTAGTCAAACCCCCACTTTAAGAAAATGGCAAAAAGATGAAACTTCTCCTGAAGTCAAGGCTGTACCACTGCTCTTGGGGTTGGGATGTAGTCCCCTCCAAGAGCTTTCTGAGATATCACTAACCCCAATGCCAGAGAAAGCAGTGTCACAGTCCCCAAAGAAGGAATAAAGAAGTGGGAGAAGTAGAGAAGGCCTCTGAGCCCATTGCTTTCTAGGAGAATCCAGACTCCTTTTGAGTATGCTCAAGGCATGGCCACTGTAGTTTTAGCTCAGCCAGATTTCTTAAGCTTCAGTTTCTTCACCGAGTCCAGTTTACGTATAGCCCATGGAATGGGTCAAAGGCTTATTTCTTGGGTCCAATCAATCCTAGAACAGGGATCAGAACATTAGATTCAAGTTTTGTGTGTGTCCCCAGGAGCCTGGGACAAAACAGCCTCTCTGATCTTCAGTTTTCTTGTATGCAAAGAATAGCCATAAGATCAATCCCAAGCTCAGTGTTTGCAGAGATCAGTGGCATACAGTTGCTGAAAGCACAGATTCAGAGCCCCATCAGACATGCATTTGACTTTAAAACATGTAACTTAGTAGCTGGATGACCTAAAAAATGTTATATAAACCCTCTCGGCATTAATTTTGACAAATGTAAAATGTTGATAATAAATTTTTATTCACTTGTTTGCTTTGAAGATCAAATGAGATTATAGGGAACAAATTTGTCATATGATTAACTGAGTTAGTTACAAGAAAACTTACTATATTATAAAAGACCAAAGATATATTATACATTATCATTATTACAGGCTATTTTGTTCTGTTGTCTTGAGCTCTATCAGCGTCCAAAACCAGTGAAATATTCTTTATCTGCTATGCAAATTTCTGGGTTCCCATGAGAGGAAAATTTCAGCAGAATCTCCTTTTTCAATAAAATGTGTATAATTTATCTCTTTGAAGGTTATAATTCCAACCCTGCCTTCTACATCGTTCTCCTGGGCAAGGAGCCAAGGAGGCTGCAAGTGAGCGTGACAAAAATATATCCACTGATAGGTGGCAAATAACACCACAATGCTACTCTAAGAGCCTATACACAATAACAAAGACCCCAAAACTTCCAAAGATGAGTTCCTGAGTGTGTGTCTCCTCTTATGTTTTTGTTTTCTAGGTGTCTATCTCAGTGATACTTTCTTATTTTTTCAACATCCTTATTTAGATATAATTTACAAACCGCGACATTCATTCTATGATTCTTACCTTTTGTAGAGTATTTCAGATGGTCTGTGTGCATCAGACTAAGTTTATATAAATTTCCTTCTGAATGTGTACAAATATATATATGTTTCTTTCTCTGTACCAGTACTTAAGTCTATATGGACCTGCATCTGTAGATCTCTGGATCTCTTTCCTATGTGTGATCTCTGTGTGTGTCGGGGCGGGGAGGGGGGGGTGTGTATTACTATAAGCATGGTGTTTACTTCTTTGTGTCTTGTCTATGTTTGCATTTGTCAATGTCCATAGTGGTTCTGAGTACTTGCATGAATGTTTGTGTTAAAAAAGACAAGGTTGAGCAACTTTAATTGGGCCCATTACTGTTACTAAATTGTTTAAATAGGCCTGGTGGAAAACATGGACCAATAATTTTGAATTCTGATTTTTTTTTCACACTAAGACCCATACCTTACTTAATTGGGTTTAGGCGACCCTAGTCATAAGCATTTTTAAAACATTCCAGGTGATGAGTCTAACGCGCAATTCTATACCAGTAAAGTTGCTAGAGCACTGCCATCCTTTTGGAAATCCGCAACCTGCTTTCCTTAAATTTAGTATTAATTACATCACAGTGGGGAGAGAGGTTAATTTGGATTCTTTATTGGATATAAAAGAGAACTTATCCTCTCCTTTCCTGTGGAGCAGGGTATTATCCCAAGAGACTGAAGCCTGTAAGATAACCCCTAAATTAACCTATGAAAACAGCTGAAAAGGAATTCCCCTCCCAACCCAATCCTCCTTCCATTCCAGCAGATACCTGTTTCCTTTTATGAGTACATCTGTCTAATTCTGTCTAATTAAGCAGATGTATTGCTGCCTTAATTTCCATATAAATTCTTCAGAGCCTCTGTGGGAGTTTGGTAAACCCAAAGAAGATTTATTAGTATAATAAACAAAATGTTTTATTTGCGGGGGAAAAAAGTATATTTGCAATATTCCTTCCACGGGGAGGGTCAGGCAAGAGAAATTATCTCAGTTAAATATGGAATCTAAAAAAGTGAAACTTATAGAAGCAGAGGGTAGAAAGGTGGTAGCCAGCAGCTGCAGGGGCACTGCGGGGATGGCCAAAAGGTACAAGATTTCAGTTACAAGATGAATAAGTTCTGGGGATCAAATGTACAAGCATGAGTACCGGTAGATTGGGTTAATTTCATTGTGATGATCATTGTACAATGTATACAATATCTAATCATCACATTGAATATACATAATCTTTGTCAAAAAATTTAAAATTTTTGAAAGAGAAAATACAAAAGGTGGTGCAGATTAGAGATCTAAAGTTAAGGGAGGGGGAAAATCCAGGAAGAAGGAAGAAGAAAAATAAAACCTCAGATATGTAAAGCTTGAAAGAAAGGGACACACATGGACAATCAAGAAACTTTATAAACGTTAGCAGGGGAAATGGGCCCCTTCCTTCAGGCTGCAGACTCCATTTGCAGTACGGATGAGAGGAGACTTTGGAGTGAGAGACTGTCTGGCTGCTGACTTTTTACTAAACCTACCACCACCAATCACACTCCGTGGAGATCTCTCAGATACTGAGGATTTGAATTCTGACATTCGTGGTGATGAAGAGTCAGTGGATAGCAGACTTTCACTTACTGAGGCAAGAAAAAAATTAAAATTCCCAATATTCTCACTATCCACTACAGCATCTAGAAGTTTACATGACACACAGTAAATGCTCAGTAAATATCTGAGAAATAAACTGGGGAGAGGTCTGGTTTTAACAATCTGCTCTATCTGAATAGGCTGCATAGAGGTATCTGTCTTTAGCAGAATGAAAGCCAAAGAATCAATGAGAAAATTCTCTTATGTCTCTAAATTTCTTACAAGGGGACTATTCTATGAAATAAAGTAATTCTAGAAAGACCAAAAACTTAATAAGATAGAGGTAGAAGTAGGGACTATGAGTCAGAGTTTATTAGCTCGATTTAATAATGTCCACTTTTATAGAAGAACAAAGTAAGGAAACAGCTTTATGCCACAACTTACCTAGAAACATCAGCCATATTTTAAACAATACTTTATAGCTTCTAAAAATAGCTCAGATAGAGGGGTTTGGGTGGATAAAAATAACAACTATCATATATTGGATTGTCCTTATGTACTAGCACTATGATTTACATGGAAGGCCCATTTCACATTCCCATTTGGCTCAGTAGGTTGGTTTAGTAGAGTCGTAATTTTATAGGTAAGAATGATTAAAATTCAATAAGTTAAATTTACTTGCCTAAGGTCACAAGACTAGTGAAAGATAATTGATAATTCTAACTCAGGCCAGTTGACTCTAGAACCCATATAATTAACCACTACTCTGACTTTTCTTAACCTCAACAGTATCAGGTGCCAAACATACTTACAATCACTGAGGTTCTGACTGACAAAAAATTACCAAATGTGGTGGAGAAACTTGAATGGAGACTACTTAACATGCGTATGATCCAACTTCCTTAAACAACACACACTAAGATACTTAAGTACAGTGCAAGATATATACTGTCTCTGTACAGATCTTTGGGAATACCTTATAGGAAAGATATGAAATTACTTTGCTTGGCAAGTTTTAAGATAGGAAATAATGTCTGTCCCACAGAATTTTATAGCTGCCCTTGGGACTATTAGGTTCTATTTCTGTCATTTTTTAATTGAGTAACCTATAGTCCTGAATAAATTTGTCCAGTAACAAAACTAGTCAATAATAAGATTAGGATGAGAATTGAGTTCTGCAAACTCCTTATCTACACATCTTTTGATGATATCAGCTGTTTAATCTTCCTGAGAACTCTTTAGAAGCAGGAAGACAGATTTGTTGACCTCACTGACCTTGACTGGACTAAAACATCCCTTGGATATTTCTGTCCATTGATCCACAATAAATTCTTAATAGGAAGACAATGTCTTCTTGAAATGGGAATTAATAGGTTCCTTTTCTCTGTACCTTGGCATTGTTAACATGGAAAACAGGGGTACAAGCATTATTCAGTTTTATTACTTAGAATAAATCCTTTGGGATAGTTTTTGTTATTTTGACCTCTGACTTAGACTGATAAACTTCTGAGGCATTGGGAGGGATGCTTATACTCTAATAAAATCAAATCTCTATATCATAATCTGCAAGAAAAAATTCAAAATATAAAATTTTTTCTAATTTTGTTTTCCCCAAAATATCCCTGAAAAAATCAAGATTTTAGAGTTTTATGTAGTATTATGGAGTCTATTAATCAATCATTAGAAATTAGCAAAAAAAATTGCTAAATTGATTCTACTTTCAATTAGATCCAGCTTTCATCTCACCACCCCCTTGTTTAATACCACTGTGGCTACTTAGCTTTAAAATGGAACTTCAACCTATTGGTGTAAAATTTCCCTTGGAAAGAGGAAAATAGAATCTTAAGACAATGAGGATGAGAAACAGCAATTTCTAGGTTAAAACTTGGCAGGTTGTAGAAGATACTAATCTGAAAGTGACCATTTGATTAAAAAAATCAAGAACTTGTTCCTGAGGCTGGGGGCACAGAGAATGAAGAAAGAGTTCTTTAAATGTGATGAAGTTTCTTCTTCATAAATAAAAATGTAAGTGGAAGTCTCAACTATTTAAACAAACATTTTTACTACTAATCAGATATGTGCAAATTAATTAACAGCAAGATATAATTTTACAAGAGGCAAATTAGCAAACTATATTTCTCAGTGATGATACCCCATGCAAATTCACAACTTTTCTTGATCCTATCAGGAAGATGGAATTGCAAGGCAATAAGCTAGAAAAAATGTCTAAGGAGGGGAAAAAAAACTGCAAGGAAAGACAAGATGCAAACACTGGCTTAAGTAAGATAGACACAAGTGGACACTGGTAATAAGAGTTTGGTTGAAAATTTGGTAGAAGACAGGTATGTACTGGTGATAAAGCTTAATGTCCCTGAGGATGACAGAAATTCCAGATGTCAATACCCTCTTTGGGATTTTTTTATGTAGTTACCCCAGCAAGAGCTTACAAAAAAGACTGTAGTGAGTCCTAACAAAATGTTTCTTGAGGTACAGGTTTGGGGGAGGGAATAGTAACCACTGCCAGAGAATCATGCAACTCCATTGGACACTGTTCTATCTCTGTTATGTGAGTCGTAAAATATAATGGGTTGAATAGTGACCTCTCAAAAGATATTCATGCCTTAATTCCCAAACCTATGAAATTAAGTCATATGACACAAGGTATAATTAAATTAAGGGTTTTGAAAACAGAACTTTATCTTGGATTATCTGGGTGGGCCCTAAATGCAATAACATGTGTTCTTATAAGATAGACACACAGAGGAGAAGATAGAAGAGAGGGTGATATCAAGACTGAGTTAGAGCTATAAGCCTAGGAATGCCAGGGCCATCCCTAAAAGTTGGAAGAGGTAAATAGTGGATTTTTTTTTTTTTTTTTTTTTAGAGTACCCACAGGGAGCACAACCTTGCTGGATTTTAGACTTCCAGCATCCAGAATTGAGAGTGATTATTTTGTCTTAAGCCACCAAGTCTTTGGTAATTTTTTAGAGCAGCCTCAGGACACTGATTCAGAGGGTAACAAACTGTGGCAACTTAAGGACACTAGTGAAAACCTATTGCAGCTAGAGGAGGGAAACAGATTAAAAAAAAAAAAATCTATCCCTGGAGTAGGGGTGGAGAAAATGCCGAATCAAGATCTATAGCCATGGAATATCAGGAGTATTGGCAAGACCACACACCCAGGGCCCATTGTGCCTGCTAAAACCAAGAAGTAATCAGAATAACAGGCAATATCCTGCATGCCTCTCACTAGGCTAACAAGATTCAAATCATAAAAAACTGGAAAATAATGTTGTACAAGGATAGGAAAGGGACATGAGTATGAAAAATATCCTTTCAGAGGTGGAATGCAAAAGCTCAGTGTGATGTAGACTATGAGAAAAACTATCTGACAAATAAGCCCCTACTCTAAACAGAAAGTTTTGCTAGAGGAATTGAAAGCCTGTGACCCAGCAAAGATAATCACATTAATAAACTTCAAATCCAGCCCAAATCCCAACTAAAAAAACTCAAATGCTTACACTGAAGTCCTATCAGGAAGAATGCTTTGGCCATTTTTAGACATATAGTTAATCACACAAGTCTCTACTATTCTTATCAAGATATTCACCTTTCCACAAAAATATGGTATATTAAAAATAACACACAAATACACAACATAATTCCAAAGACAAAGCAATCAGCATTAGCAGAATCAGATATGACATAGATGTTGGAACCATGCCACAGCTTCAAAACAACCATGACTAATATGCTAAAGGTTCTAAAGGAGAAGGTGAACCACACGCAAAATCAGAAGAATTTCAGCAAGAACAAAAAGGAAAATATAAGAAACATTCAAATATGAACAATTCAAGTGAAAAATACAACTGAGAAGAGGACTGCTTTTGACAGGTCATCAGAGGACTCAGTAGTGCTGGGTAGAAAAAAATCAATGGCTGTAAAGTTAATGACATTTACATAGCTCGAGGAGAAGGCTGGCTGCCCCACCCTAATCTTATTATGTAAATGAACTTTCCCCTTGGCCCGTGCCATCTTGTCTGCTCCTTACTGTATACCTGGCTGGCAAAGAAGAGAAGATGGAGCTGCCATTTTGAACTTGACTGGTGCAGCTGTTGGCATCTGCGTCTGCAGCTCGACTTTACAGGCTGCTCTTTGTTAGAAATGAAAATGATTCGGGGCTGCCTTTCATTAAAAGGAAAAACTTACTGAGGACTTCGGTATCCTCACTATCAGCCAAAGTAATTTCTTCTTAACTCTTGTATCAATAATGATGGGAAACTTGGATCTGCACAACAAAATGGCCAGCATTGTAAATGAAATAAATGAATATAAAAGTCATTTTTTTAAATTTGTAATTGCTCTAAAAGATAACTGGTTATTTAGAGCTAAAATAATGGCAGTTAATTTTGTGTTTTTAATGTAT
This sequence comes from Homo sapiens, assembly GCF_000001405.40. NCBI lineage: Eukaryota > Metazoa > Chordata > Mammalia > Primates > Hominidae > Homo > Homo sapiens. Next base: position 107,835,605 of record NC_000010.11, read on the forward strand.
GTAAATGTAAAATATGTAGTAATAATGGCACAATGTATGAAACAGAAGACTTGGGAATATACTGCTATGAGCTCTTAAACTACATGTGGAGTGGCACAATGTTATTTGGAGGTTGATTCACATTGTTTAGAAACACTAAAAAAATTCTTGAGCAGGAAGGATGTGTGTATTTATAACATATATTAAATATTTGACAGCGATGACACAAATATAGGAAGACTTGAGACTACATAATTGTATGGTTCTAAAATTACATATTAAAACTATATAACATTATATGAAGGTAATCTTCAAATTAATAAAGATATATAATTTAAATCCTAGGAAAGCTACTAAAATTTTTTAAAAGGTTTTAATGATAAGTAAGTAGCAGAGATAAAATGGAATCATAATATATTTAAATAATGCAAGAAAAGACAGAAAAAGAAGGAAATAGAAACAAAATTGAATGGAACACATACACAAACAAATGGCAGATTTTAGTTTAATTTTTATCAATAATTATATTAAATGTGAATAGTAAACATACTATTGAAAAGGAGAAATCATAAAATTGGAAAGAAAAGCAAGACCACATAAATGTCATACACAATAATCCCATTTTAAATATAAAGAAATGTTTTCCAATTGTATTTCTTACAAAAAAGCTTCAGTTGAGAATATAGAAGGTTTCAACTCAAAATAAGACCAATAGCCCAATAAAACATGGGCAAAATATCTAAACAGACAGTCCACCAAAGATGATATATGAATAACAAATAAGCACATAGTAATATGATCAACATCATTAGTCACTGGAGAAACACAAATAAAAACCACAATGAGAGACCACTCTAAACCTACTAGAATGGCATAAATCAATAAGTAAATAAAATTTAAAAATAATAGCAAATACTGGGAGTAAAAGGAGCAACTGGAACTCTCATACATCACTGGTAGGAATACAAAGTGATAGTCACTATGGAAAAGAAAATAGTTTGGCAGTTTTTCATAAAATTAAATATAAACATATGGTAATATGTTGCAGATATTCTACTCTTAATTATTAACAGGTGTGAACCCCAAAAATCTGAGACACGTCTCAGTTAATTTGAAAGTTAATTTTGCCAAGGTTGAGGATGCACACCCATGACACAGCTGCAGGGCATCCTAAAGACAGGTGTCCAAGGTGGTCAGAACCCAGTTTGGTTTTATACATTTTAGGGACACGAGACATCAATCAACATATGTAAGATGAACATTGGTTCAGTCTGGAAAGGCAGGACAACTAGAAGTGGGGAAGGGGACTTCTAAGTCATATGCAGATAAGAGACAAATGGTTGCATTTTTCTGAGTTTCTGATTAGCCTCTCCAAAGGAGGCAATCAGATATGCATTTATCTCAGTGAGGAGAGGGGTGACTTTGAATAAAATAATTCAAAGCTTAGGCAGGTTTGGCTTAAGCAGTTCCCAGCTTGACTTCCTTTAGCTTAGTGATTTTGGAGCCCCAAGATATTTTTCTTTCACATGGTAATCTACCCAAGATAACAGAAAGGTATTTACACACACACACACACACACACACACACACACCACTGACACAAATGCCTACAGCAGCTTTATTCAAATGCGTCAAATTTTTAAAACACTTAGTAAATTTCAAGCAGTGAAGTATCATTGTATACCCATATAATGAAACACTACTGAGCCATTTAATAAAAAGGAAAATAAAGAGAGATAGTTAAGTAAAGAAGCAGTTCTTATACAATGATATGAATAAATCTTTAAAACATTTTGCTAGGTTGTAAAAAGCAAGAAGCAATAGTCTACTTCATATGATTTCTATTTGCAATGACCAAAATCACACAGAAAATAGACCAACAATGGCTAGAAGTGTGGGTATAGTGGGTTGCTGACTAAAATGGAGAAGCACAAAGAACTTCTTGGGGTTATACAACTGTTCTACATAAAATTGTGTTGGTAAATATCTAATTTCTGGTAGAGTTTTTTGGGTGTTTTCAAATGGTAGAACTATGTACCACAAATAATGAATTTAACTGTTTAAATTTTTTAAAAATCTACAAGGATACGGAGGGAACTCAAGATAGAATGTAGATTGTAACAAATGATTCTGAGTTATCAATGAATAATCTCACTCCTTTGAAGAGGATGGACCTGAATAACCATTTTCAAAGCTATTTTGATTGGATGCTGTAAGACTTAAGACAAAGAAAAATCACAAACACTGCGTGTGGTCGATAAACTTGTTTAAGAGCAGGCAAGTCTATATGCACACTAGTGTTGAGTGACAGTTTCAGAGAAACCATAAGAGAAAGAAGTTACAAATAAGAGTGAAGACTAGAATAAATAAAACCTCCTTTGCTAGATTGGAATCAGATGTTATTATGGCCTATTTAAAATATATATGCAAAAAGACAAAAATAATTATTTATATATATATGTGTGTGTGTGTGTGTGTTTGTGTGGGTTATTATACATTCACGCATTTCCTAGCTCTGTTTGTTGAAAGAATGCAGGAACTGTGACACCACAGTAGCATTGAAAACACCAAACACCTAGGCCCTAGTTTATAAATACCACACCCCAATAAAACAACTTACTAGGAAAAGTGATTGTTTTCAGGACGGATAGGCAAAACCCAATGTGACGTAGGAGCATCTTGTGGTACCTAAAAGAAAGCAAGCCTCTTCACCATGTGCCAGATAGAATGGGTACATATTGCAAGGAGCTAATCTGCAAAAACTACAACGGTCACAGCAAGAATAATATTAGCAACATAAATAATGATAGTATTGGATCATAATCAAAGAATAATATAAATATCCATGAGTCCATGCTAATGTAAGTACATAACTGAATTAATAAATAAGTATGAGTATTGGGAAACAGTTCTTTCTTACAAAATAATCTCAATTAATAAGTGTACTAAAATGAGAAAACTAGAAAATCACCATTACAGCATCATAGAAATATTTGGTTTGGTTTTGAAATACATGGATTTAAGGTTTTTGAAATTGATAAGATGCAAAGGCTATTCACATAGTTTTGTACTATCCAGTGGCTCCAAAACACTCATTAATTACAGGAAAGTAGTTGTGGGGATAATACCCTCTCATATCATGCCCAGGGGTCTCATGAACTTTACATAATTAATCAGCTCTATCTGATTTCAAAAAATATCAAACTCAAATTGAAAAATATTCTACAAAATAGGTAACCAGTATTCTACAAAACTTTGGAGTTTATGAAAAGAAAAGTTTAAGAAAATGTTTCATATTGGGGGAGACTATGGAGACATGACAACTCTAAACATTTGGAATTCTGAATTTTATCTTGGTACAGAAGAAGGATTTTCATGTAAAACTGGGTGAAATCTGAGTAACTAGTTCAGTAAGTGGCATTCTCTCTGTTAACTTCTTAATTTTGGTAATTGTAAGATGGTTATATATAACACTAAAATTAGGAAATGTTGAATAAAGAACATCTGGGAATTTTTAGTACTATTTTGCAACTCTGTTCTAAGTCTAATAATCTCAACATAGAAAGTTAAAAATATATAAAGCACAGTCTTATCATTTTTAGAAATTTTTAAAAAATAACTTATATAACATTCACTGTATTATGAAAAGTTAGGAAAGTAGGTGGGTAAGTGGAGATGGAAAATAGGTAAGTAATTAGGTTAGGCAAGGTGAGTTGGTTTGAACAGGTAAGTAGGAAGATAAGTCTGTAGAGATAGCTGGATTGAGCCTTTGGACCTTCATTCATTCTACCACTCTCAAACCCCCTAACCACAGCCATAGTTCATCCATGTTTTAGACAAGATACAAAGTGGGGAGGGCCACAGTGAGACAGGTTAAGATTTGGGAACCTGAGTACATGGTAACTACTGGAAGGCAGAGTTAAGAACATCAACTACTGTGTTGAAACTGTCCATAAATGAAAGCATGCCAATAATGTGCTTTACAACACAGTTTTCTCAATAATACATCCCCATAATCCCTAATTCTAGAACTCTGTATGGAACCCTAGACTTTACATAGTAATTCTTAGCCCCAAGGACTCTGTAATCTAGCTTCTAGAAATGTCCTTGACAACCAAGGTGCTCAATTGTTTCTATACAGAACTTAGCAGCAACCAGAATAAGAAGAGAGGGGGTTGTGGAAGGGAAGGAGGAAAGAAAGGGGAGAAAGAGAGAGATGGAGAAAGAGAGAGATGGGGAGAGAGAGACAGAAAGAAAATGAGCAATCAACATAACTGAAATGTTCCTTCAAGGACTCTGAACAACTGATTTTAGCAATCCTATTTGAAATGATTCCAGGAAATTTTAAACTTTAGCCAACAATAATTGCTTTTTAAAATGAGTAATGATCCCGATGTATTACGTGCATTTGTAGAGTACATGTTGTCCACTTTTTTCTTTTGCACAGCTTTATAGAGGTATGATTGACAAAATGATATATAAGGTGTACACTGTAATAATTTGACTATGAAATAATTACCATAACCAAGCTAATTAACATATCCATCACCACATAGTTACCCATTTTTTTTTTTTTGGTGAGAATACTTATGATTTCTCTTAGCAAGTTTCAAGTGTACAGTACATTCATTATTATTGACTGTAGTCACCATACTTTGCATTAGACCTCTAAAAATTATTCATCTTTTAACCGAAGGTTTGTACCCTTTGGCTAAAATCTTCCCATTTCTCCCACTCCCCCAGACCCTGGTAACCACCATACTACTCTGTTTTTATGGGTTCAATATTTATACATTCCTAATGTTGATGATAATACGTAGTATTTCTCTTTCTGTGTCTGGTTTATTTCACTTAACATAATGTCCTGTATCACTCATGTTGTATCAAGTGGTAGAATTTCCTCCTTTGTTAAGGCTGAATAATATTTCATTGCATATATACGCACATTTTCCTTTTCCATTCAACCACTGACGGACACTTAGGTGGTTGTTTTATCTTGGCTATTGTGACTAATACTTCAGTGTACATAGAACTGCAGATATAACTTTGAAATACTGATTTTATTTTTATTTTTGGATATATACCCAAGAGTAGGATTGTTGTATCACATAGTAATTCTATTTTTACATTTTTCAGTTACTTCCATACTGTTTCCCATAATGGGTGAATCGATTTGTATTCCCACCCAGAGTATACAAGTTTTTTTTTTTTTCCTACATCCTTGTGAATACTTGCTGTCTTTGACTTTTTGATAATAGGCATTCTAGCAATTTTGAGGTAATATTTCACTGGGGTTTTATTTGAATTTCCCTGACAATTCATTATATTGAAATTTTTTTTCATATACCTGCTGGTAATTTGTACATCTTCTTTGGGAAAAATGTCTATTCAGGTTCTTTGCTCAGTTTTTAATTAGGCTGTTTGTTGTCTTGTTTTGTTGCTATTGTGTTACATTAATTCCTTATGTGTTTTGTATATTAATCCCTTATCAGATATATCATTTGCAAATATTTTTCCTTTTCCATAGGTTGCCTTTTCCTTTTGCTGATTTAGTTTAATCTAGTTAAAGGCTTAAAACAAAGAGTTGAGACCCAAGTAAATAAAATCAGATAATGAAAGAGGAGACAATACAATGAATTAGAAATAAAAAGGATAATATGAAAATATTATTAACAATTGTAGGCCAATAAGTCCAATAAACTGGAAGAAACAGATAAATTTTTACTTATATACATCCTACCAAGACTGAATCATGAATGCATAGAAAATGTAAACAGACCAATAACGACTAAGATTTAATCAATAATCAAACATCCACCAACAAAGAAAAGCCCAGGACCATATGGCTTCACTGGTGAATTTTACCAAACATTTAAAGACGACTTAATGCCATTCCTCATACTTTTTCAAAAAACTAAAGAGGGGGTAACATATCCAAACTCATTTTATGAAGCCAACACTACCCTGATACCAAAGCCAGATGAAGATACTACAAAAATAATATTTTAGGCCAGTATCTCTTGTGAACATAGATGCAAAATTTCTCAACAAAGTATTACCAAACAATTCAACAGCACATTAAAAGTTCATACATCATGATCATGTGGGATTTATCTTTAGGATACAAGGATGGTTCAACATACAAATCAATAGATGTGATTCACCATATTAACATAATTAAAAATATAAATCATATGATTATCTCAACAGATACAGATAAAGCTTTTTAACAAAATTCAGCACCCTTTCATGATAAGAACTATCAATAATTTAGGTGTAGAAGGAATGCACCTCCACATCATAAGGAACTCTTTTTTAATATATATTTTTTTCTTCCATTTTTTAAAATATCACAGGCCCTACTGTGGTAACTTTGAGGAACATAGGTAAGTTTCTTATGAGCCATTTACCTGTTTGATCATCATACAATAAAAAATAAGTCAAAGAGAAGTCAAAATAGAAACTATTTGAATGTTGTGTAAGTTAGTAAAAGTTATCAACTCACTGGCCATTTCTCTAAACATTCAAAGAAAGAGCCTGGATAAAGAGAGTGAAGTAAAGGTGCTTATATCAAAGAAAGAATGAAGTTAAATGTATACATTGAACATGTTGGCCTCACCTTTACAAGGTGGTCACAAGCCATCTAAACAGAATCAATGAAGCAGAAATGGAAGATCTGGTACTTAAGAACTCTATCTCCTCTCAAATGCACATCTTTTACTAATAGTATTTTCCTTTTGTGTAATTTACCATAACTGAGTCACCTGGAAACCCATAGTTGCAAGGAAAACTATAAAAGGGGCAATAACATTAATGCAATTAACACTACCCACCCTGCCACCCTCTTGCCCAGAAAAGAAAAAAAATTACTGTCAAGAAGAAGCACTGTTAGGTAGAAGGACTACTGGGTAGACTATAACCAAGAGTGTCTTCCAAAGCTATTTATTTTGGCTGAATCTTTTCATCCTTCTAAGACTGTTTCTGAAAGAGACACCAATATGCAAATTGTAGTCATGTCATGAACCCTCATACTATCTCTCTTTAAAGATTAGGTATGTGCTCCCATCCTAGTTATCCGATTGAATCAATCAGTGTTAAAATAAGCTATCTGAGTCAGCTTTCCTAAATGTGCTTCACTGAAGATTAGTCCTAAAATAAAGCCTAAGAGAAAGACATTGTTGCTGTAAACTATATCGGGGATTCTCTTACACACAGTGATATGTTAAAGGCTCTGAACAAGTTCTGTTGTTAAAAATATTTAATACGATGTTTTCCAAATGACAAAACATAGTTTGTGTAATACATGTTACCATTTCCTGTAATTAATTTGGACAATATTGATTAAACGATTTTCCTTCTCTCATAAACTTGGAAAACCAATCCTGATTTTCTACAGAGATGTTTTCCAATAAATCCACTGATATTTCAGTGGATTTCTAACAGTGCTCATTTCTAACAGTGCTGCTCTTCAAAATTGTTCATGTTTTTCATTATTTTTTAGTTCAGGCAATTGTATGAGGTTGGAATGAAAAAGGGAAATTGCTCTTTTCTAGTTAACAAGTCTCTGGCAGAAACCAATAGGTTTTACCAGGTAAACAAATTTAAAAATACGATGTCTTGAAAAATGGAAAAAGCAAATAATATGTGATAACATTGAGAGAGATTAAGAAAAATTGGAAGCAATTTTTGGTGTGATTATTCAAATAAAAATTTCATTAATTCATTGTAAATACAGCCCTGCTTTATACCATAGCTGTGTTTCCAGGAAAGAGAGAGGCCATAGACTTAATATTTATGATGGTATTTCATTTTATTTTATGCCTTTCTCCCTCCTCCCATCCTACTTTAACTTTTATTGAATACTGGCCTCAAGTAGTTGAACCCAAGCTAAGTCAAAGTCTAAATCTAAAGACAGGCTACGTCTTGGCGTTCAGTAATATTGATCCTAGTGCTCATGTCTTACATGTTAGCAGACAAACTCCACATTTCAAGGGGTGAGGGAGGTGGGTAATGTGATCATTAGATGGTGCACATAAGGAATGATCACAGTCTAAACAGGCCAGTTAGACAAACACTTGGTTCAAATAGGAAAATGAGAAAGTACTAAGAAACTAACACAATCACCACAAAAATCCCCTCACACTCCAAAGACTCTGAAGAAGACATAACTTTGATGTCTGATGAATTATCCAACAGTAATAGGTTTTGATAATTCACAATGAAATGCCAGAACTTTTCACCATGATTGGTAACCTTCTCCCCACAAATACTAAATTCAAACCCATTGGCTGTCAAGAGAGTCAAAGTCTTATGACCTAGCAGCATTTTACTGTAAATCCTAACTGTAAAAAGACAGGCATATCTGAGCTTTAGAGCTCATATTTCTTTAACACACACACACACACACACACACACACACACACACACACACACACACAGAGAGAGAGAGAGAGAGAGAGAGAGACAGAGAGAGAGAGAGAGACAAAGAGTGAGAAAGAGAGAGAGAGAGAGAGACGCTTGCCTTGTTTTCCCTCTTTCTCTGATGGGGTGCATCCTCAGCTTAACACTGAATGTTCTAGGCTAAGAGGACAGCACAAATGGGTGGAAAATCTGGAGCCTCAGAGAAGTCTAGTGAACATGTCTGAAAGGGAAATCCTGCAAGTAATTTAATGTAATTCTTACTCAGAAGTGGCCAACATTCTTGTTCAATTCCATTTTATGAGAATTTCCACGTTCATGCAGATGCATCTAAATGTTATCAAATGCAGGCTTAGAGTATCAATATCTTGGTAAACTCTCTTCCATATTTTAGGTCTTCCACATCTATTCCTTCCACAAAGTTTCCCCTTGCACTCTTAGTCCTTGCCTCAAAGAAGTTAACAGACTTATCCGAGAATGCACAGCTATTAATTAGTAGAGCTCAGATTTGAACAAAGGTCTATCTAACTCCAAATTCATCAAGGCTCTGAACTCTCTGTAACAGCAGTTACATTCTGACTCTCTCATAGTAGGAGGTGGACTTGCAAATCCCAGTCCAGATGGTCCTAGTGTAGGCTCCACACCATTAAAGACTTCATTTCTGTCATCTGCAGAGAGAATACCGGGATTGTTGGTCACACTCTGGTTAGTAAAATCCATGTACTTTCACATAATCTCAACTTTTTAGCCTAGAATCATGGAAATATTGGTGAAGTAAGTGGAAGAACACTGTGCAGAAGATTTGAAGAAAAAAAGTAATTGAAGAAAAAAGTAATTGAAGTATCTCACAGTAACATCTCCACAGACGACCAGCTAGTGGCTTTATGTGCAGTTTCAAACCAACATTTTGGACATGCCCCAAGCAAGTGATTCTATAAAGCGAGGTTCAAAGTCCAGTCAAATGTATGATGCAGCTTACACATTGACTTTACCGTGACATGTTTGTGTGAGTAAAGCATCGGGAAAACAACTCCTCTTGCATTTATTTCTGACAAGCGCTAGCTATTTTCTGGAAGGCACAAGATGCTAGAAGATCTTTCTTCAAAAGAAAATACAATTTCTTTTCTGCTTAGGGTGCCTAAAGCCGCTCCTTAGGCCTGGATCTAGCGTCAAAGCACACTTTAAATCAAAATCTACAGAGGACTTTTTATCTTTTGCACATTCTAGGGAAGTTAGCTGTTAGATTTGCAAATTAAAACATAACTAGAGTGAGGATTTAAACAATTTACTCAGAAATGTACTCAGGAATTTGATACTGTTGCTGCCATCAAATTTGCTGTCTCTGCTGGGCATAGTGGCTCATGCTGGTAATCCTATCACTTTGGGAGGCTGAGGCAGGAGGACCACTTGAGCTGAGGCATTTGAGACCAGCCTGGTCAACATGGTGAGACCCTGTGTCTACAAAAACAAACAAAAAAATAGCTAGGCATGATGTTACACCCCTGTAGTCCTAGCTACTCAGGAAGCTGAGGTGGGAGGATCTCTTGAGCCCAGGAGGTCAAGGTTATGGTGACATATGGTAGTGCTACTGTGCTCCAGCCTGGGTGACAAAATGAGACCTTGTCTCAAAACAAAACAAAAAAAAAAAAAACACTCACAAGAAACCATTGCTGTTTCATAGAAAAATGACTTAGCAGAAAATTTCCATAATACTTTCAATTCTTCATCATCCCTCCAGCACCACCTCACTTAATCTTTACCGTAACACTCGATGCATCCATTAATTAACCTTCAGAAGAATTGAAGTGCTCTGAGGATACTTTTAAACAAAAAAAATGTGTGGATCAAACCAGTCTTCTCAGTGGTGAATTGTAGCTCAGTATTCCAATTGTGCTGTTTCATGACCATTTTGCTCTAAAGCTTTCTCACTGAACTTCAGAACCAGCTCACAAGTTCTCTTCCCTATCCTGAAGGAACTCCTCTCACCTGTAAACTCACATAACCCTTTGTTTATTCTTGTCTTGTGTCATTGATAATCTGCCTTTCTTTAGAAAACCTTATTCTAACAGCCTACAGATTCCATGAAAAGATACTGGACTTTATTCATCTTTGTGACCTCCTCCATATCTAGAAAGAACCTGACTCATATAATATATTCTTACTAAATATGAATATGTTTCCAAAACCCAGTACTTTGACAGCTAGTTCCATTTAAATGATCAAACACTACCTAAACATTCTGAAAAGTAAAAAAATAAAGAAAAGGAATAATAAAAGTTTAAACTTCAGTATTAAATGGACTTAGACTCAGATTCAGCTCTGAAAATTACTACCTGAAACACACAATGGGCAATGTTTGCAGGCTCATTAAATTTCATATTTTCCTTTTGTGAAAGGGGGATATTAATGCAACATAATTCTCAGGGTTATTGGGAAGAAACACAATGCCTGCCATTATAATAAATGACTAATAAATGTTCACTATTTATATTTGGCTAAATGTATCAGGGCATCCTCTCACTCTCCCCCCATCTCCTCTGCAAATTGAGCACTTTTGCTTCCAATCGAGATCGCTAATGTTCAGCAGCCACCCCTGCCTTTTTCAGTGACAACCACCTCTGTTGAATTCCTCCCAAGGTTACTAACAGCTCAAGCAAAGAATGTTGGGATATCAAATATTCTGCAAATATTCAAACCACCTCTTGAGTAAATCCCAGTCCCTGTGAATGAACCTCCCTTAAGCAGCATTTATTTGAGAGAGTGGGCTGATTTGAGCTTCCTTGGGGAGATACAAAATTGAGAGAATGGAAAGGGATTTTAATTGCAGAAAACACACGCAGAGCTTCAAAAACAGATGCCAGAGTCCTTCAAAGCTGTTTATGCTTCTTTACACATTCATTTACTTTACCAAAATTTTACTTTTGGCAAATTCAGGACTTTTCCACTGTACTGAGCAAGCATTTAAAACAACTGTTTCTACTGTAAGCAAAAGTCAGCAGAGGAGGAAAGAATGCAGAGGAAAAATTGCTGAAGTCTTCCTACAAACTGGAGGATCAGGACCAATACATACTGCTTATATAAAAGTTGTGACCCACAGGGTTCATGCCTGGAACCCTTTAATGAGGCCATTAAAGACACATAATCCAGATATACTAAAGTAATTACACAAAATGACTTGAGTCTCTTCATATACATATTTTAAAACCTACTACAATAACTCTTCCTCCACTCTCCTTAAAACCCCATTGAAAACCTACTAGCCCTATAAAAATACGTAGCTTTCATAACTCTAGGTACCAGTGAAAAATATTAGACAGAGATCGCTATCATTATTTTACTTTATTCCTATTGTCTTCCTCCCTTTCCCCTTCTCCAGATGCTTCCTAGGAACATGAGGGAAGAAAAGAGATTGAGAGAAACAAAAAATTCCTCTGTAAACATCATGGGAAAATAGGAAAGGCAAATTCTGAAAATGTCATATTAATAAATCTTTTTCAGCACATAAAATTAAAATGTAATACTTGACTAATATTGGGATATTTTTATTGCCTTGTTATCAACTTTCCTCTTGGTCCAGCAACAGATTGCCTACAAACACTCACATGTATTAAAAATTATTTGTCTTTCTTCTTTTAAATTTTATCTCAACTTCCTTTCAAATAGTAGTACCTGAGACTTAGAAGTCTTTACCCTAATTTAATGCTGACCTACCAAGAGGATATATGAGTTTCAACTTAGAGAATAAACAAGTGTTGGGGGGTTGTAAAAGTTTTCTTTTTACGGAAGTGCTGATAGTTGGTTAAAGAACACTAGTGAACCATTTATTTTAACAGCTTTTCATTTCCTGTTTCGGTTTGTAATACCTGTGAGACTTAGAAAGTAAGTGCTATCCTAGACAAGTTTCATTTGGTAAACATTGATCCATTTGCTTTTATTCTGATTAGAGCTGAAATAAACTGTTCTCTCTCCCTATTTTCATTCTGTGTCATCCCAGTTGGAAGTCCTGAGCTGAGCCATGGCTTTCGTTCAAAGTGCTTTCAGCATAAGCACCGCAAGATCCTTAGGTGCCCCACTTTCTTATTTCAGCAAAGAACAAAAAGTGAAGGTTTGTGTTGCTTCCTCTTGCACGGAAAACAACAAGCCTATTTTAGAAAAGGAGAAAATCTAATCCTTTTGAGGTACCATATAACTCTTGGATAAAGTGTTCTTAACAGTTTTCTGACAGACCTCACTTCAAATCATGGGATGATCATCTGACCTTGAGCAACTGACCTCATTTCATCGGACCAGTTTCTCCATCAGAAAAATAAAATTAACAATAGTACTCTCTTCAGAGCATCATTATGAGGATTCAATATAACAGTGTTTAATAAACAGAAGATCTAGGAAAAGTCTTATTACCTTATTACCTATGGATTCTCTTCACATATGGTACTAGGAAAAAAATACCACTGGGAGGTATTATATATACTTCCCCAGACCAATGTTATATTTCTGAGAGATGCATCAAATATAGTCTTCTGTGTGTGTTAGGGGTGGGAGTGAGTGAAGGGTCCAGATAAAATATAAATGACTTGATAATTGTTGAAAAAGAAATAAGGTACATAGGAGTTTGTCATATTATCTTATTTTTGGATAAGTTTGAAATATTCCATAATCAAAATATTAAAACAAACAGAAGGAAAACAAAACTCTTGGGATGTTGGTCCCCAGGACTGTGGGAGAGGCAAAAAGATCACATAAATTTGGTTTTTCTTGTATGCATACATTCCTTGTATTTTTGTCTAGAAATATCTTATCCTCATTCTTGCCTGTATTTCTGCCAGAACACGTTGCTGCGTATGTGCTTTTTAAGCATCTCTAAGAATATACTTGGCAGTCATATTTCCCCTTAGAGAAGTGGGAGGCAGAGGGCACAGAGGAATCTTGATTCCCCAAGGAAAAAATTTTCTCCTTGGTTATTAACATGAGAGCTGCCCCAGGTTGCTGAGAGATTACAAATCACATCTCTGTTTTTGGGGGCCCTTGAGGGAAAGGAGGCCAGGGAAACAAACTCACTGGGAATGATGTGTGGCATCCATGGAAGCCATCTGGAGATACACTCGTAAAAAACGCGGTGTTGAAAAGAATATGGCAGCAGCTTCTGCTCTTCTTCTGGAATTGGCTTCCAACCTTCTTCATTTAACCTCCTTTAGCCCAAAGTGCACCATAGGCTGAGAATTCCAAAGGCCTTGTTTTGACATGAGGCATTAATCAATGTTATGATACAGTTTCTGCATAATGGGATGCTTTCATGTCAATCAACCACTGACTCAGACTTCTACGACTACGAACAATCCAATATGTCTACATTCGTGTGGTTCATAGTTTGTTTGATGTCTGTCTTCACTGAGAAAAATTATGACAAAAAATTTTACTCCTCCTCCCCTTTTTTAAGGGATTTGGACAAGAACTTAAAGAAGACATACAAAAATGAGGCTGAACAAGTCTTGGTCCCAGCAAGTAATGGTGTATTAATTATCTACTTCTGCATAACAAATATCACCAAAGTAGCAACTTAAAACAACATTTGTTATTTTCTCACAGGGGCTATGGTCATCACTGGATCACCTGAGGGAGGTTTCCCTTCCAAGTTCTCACATGGCTGTTGTTAACATTGAATTCCTCATAGGCTGTTAGACTGAGAACCTCAGTTCTTCACTGGCAAGCCTACTCTAGATTGCTATAATAAGCCAGGTGATTGGTTTCATTAATTATTATTTTTGTCTTTTCTTCTTGATAGGGTGAAAACCACAAGTTTACTGTAAAATTCAACTTACGATATTTCTACTTGGGAAACCTGCACACCCCAGCCTCAAAATGCCTCAGTGCTACACTGATTTGAGTTGCCTGGCCAACCTCTACTGATCCATCAGATCTCAACTTAAAAGGCCTTCTCATAAAATTAGTTAGGGAGGAGTCCCTCCTTTTCAATTGTTTGAAATAGTTTCAGAAGGAATGGTACCATCTCCATCCTGATACCAAAACCGGGCAGAGACACAACAAAAAAAAGGAAAACTTCAGGCCCATATCCCTGATAAACATGGATGCGAAAATCCTCAGTAAAATACTGGCAAACTGAATCCAGCAGCGCATCAAAAATTTATCCACCGCAATCAAATTGGCTTCATCCCTGGGATGCATGGTGGTTTAACATACGCAAATTAATAAACGTAATCCATCACATAAACAAAACCAAAGATAAAAACCACATGATTAGCTCAATAGATGCAGAAAAGGCCTTTGATAAAATTCAACATCCCTTCATGTTAAAAACTCTCAATAAACATATATCGAAATAATAAGGGCTATTTATGACAAACCCACAGCCAATATCATATTAAATGGGCAAAAGCAGGAAGCATTTGCTTTGAAAACTGGTATAAGACAAGGATGCGCTCTCTCACCATTCCTATTCAACATAGTACTGGAAAGTTCTGGCCAGGCAATCAGGCAAGAGAAAGAAATAAAGCGTATTCAAATAGGAAGAGAGGAAGTCAAATTGTCTCTGTTTGCAGATGACATGATTTTATATTTAGCAAACCCCCATCCCCATCATCTCAGCCCAAAAACTCCTTATGTTGATAAGCAACTTCAGCAAAGCCTCAGGATACAAAATCAATGTGCAAAAAATATAAGCATTCATTTACACCAACAATAGACAAAAGCAGAGAACAAAATCATGAATGAGCTCCCATTCACAATCACTGCAAAGTTAATAAAATACCTAGGAATAAAGCTAACAAGGGATGTGAAGGACCTCTTAAAGGAGAACTACAAAACACTGCTCAAGGAAATTAGAGAGGACACAAACAAATGGCAAAACATTCCATCCTCATGGATAGGAAGACTCAATACTGTGAAAATGGCCATAATGCCAAAAGTAATTTATAGGTTCAATGCTACTCCCCTCAAACTACCATTGACATTCTTCACATAATTAGAAAAAAACTACCTTAAAATTCATACGGAATCAAAGAAGACCTCATATACCTAAGACAATCCTAAGCAAAAAGAACAAGCTGGAGGCATCACACTACCTGACTTCAAACTATACTACAAGGCTACAGTAACCAAAACAGCATGGTACTGACAAAAACAGATACATAGACCAATGGAAGAGGATAGAGAACTCAGAAATAGGACCACACATCTACAACCGTCTGATCTTTGACAAGCCTGACAAAAACAAGTAATGGGAAAAGGATCTCCTATTTAATAAATGTTACCAGGAAAACTGACTAGCCATATGAAGAAAATTGAAACTGGATCCTTTCCTTATACCTTATGCAAAAATTAACTCAAGATGAATTAAAGACTTAAATGTAAAACCCAAAACCATAAAAATTCTAGAAGAAAACCTAGGCAATACCATTCAGGATATAGGCAGGGGCAAAGACTTCATGATGAAAACGCCAAAAGCAATTGCAACAAAAGTCAAAATTGACAAATGGAATCTAATTACACTAAAGAGCTTCTGCACAGCAAAAGAAACCATCATCACAGTGAACAGAAAACCTACAGAATGGGAGAAAATTTTTGCAATCTACCCATCTGACAAAGGTTTAATTTCCAGAATTTACAAGGAACTTAAACAAATTTACAGGAAAACACAAACAACGCCATCAAAAAAGTAGGCAAAGGATATGAAAAGATGCTTCTCAAAAGATGACATTCATGCAGCCAACAAACATGAAAAAAAGCTCAACATCACTGGTCATTAGAGAAATGCAAATCAAAACCACAATGAGACGCCATCTCGTGGCAGTCAGAATGGCGATTATTAAAAAGTCAAGAAACAATAAATGCTGGTGAGGCTGTGGAGACATAGAAACACTTTTACATTGCTGGTGGGAATGTAAATTAGGTTCAACCATTGTGGAAGACAGCATGGTGATTCCTCAAGGATCTAGAACCAGAAATACTATTTGACCCAGAAATCCCATTACTGGATATACATCCAGAGGAATATAAATCATTCTACTATAAAGGCACATGCACATGTATGTTTATTGCAGCAGTATTTACAATAGCAAAGTAATGGAACCAACTCAAATTCCTGTCAATGATAGACTGGATAAAGAAAATGTGGTACATATACACCATGGAATACTATGCAGCCATAAAAAGAAATTAGATCATGTCCTTTGCAGGGACATGGATGAAGCTGGAAGCCATCATCCTCAGCAAACCAACACAGTAACAGAAAACCAAAGACTGCAAGTTCTCACTCATAAGTGGGAGTTCAACAATGAGAACACATGGACACAGGGAGGGGAACAACACACACCAGTACCTGTTAGGAGTTGGAAGGTGAGGGGAGGGAATTAGAGGGTGGGTTCATAGGTTCAGCAAACCACTATGACACACGTATACCTATGTAACAAACCTCCATGTTCTGCACATGTATCCTGGAATTTAAAGTAAAATCAAAATAAAATAATTTTTTAAATGCCTTTCTTGTGAGGATATTTTTGCCTCCCTGAACTAGGTTAGTGTCCCTGTGGTTCAATCTTGTATTACCTTTACCTTGAAAAGACACTGATCCACTATAATTGATCATTATTTAAGGTATCTACATCTGCAAAATTGCAAGCTAAATATCAGGAGGACCGTGTCTGTTTTGCTTTCGCTTATATTCTCATAGTGAAGTAAAGTGTGAGCATACAATACACATTTTTTTAATTGCTTACTTGACAACTATTAGCACATATTGAGCACTTCCTATGTTCCAGGTAGAGTAGAGAAGGCTTAAGTTCCTTTCTGACTGTTATTGTCTATAAGGGAAAATTTTGTTAGGTTTGTACCACTTTGATGAGCTTAAGTATTTGCACATCCAAATGATGAAAAACAAACATTGCCAAAAAGGTACAGTCTATCCAAAAGAACTACAAAAGATGTTACAATTTCCAGTCTTTGTTTCCTAAACCCAGCACCATTGGTAGTCTGGTTCATGGACCTCTCTTCTGTACTGTTGAACAAATATAACCACTTTGGCCCCAGGAGCTGCTAAGTCTGGATGGGTATAGGAAGCACTGGGCCTCTACCCGACTAGAGTGGGGAAGGAATAAATTAAGTGGTGGTTTTATAGCCCTGTTAGGACTCTGTCTTGCCTACCTGTGGAGTGTCCTTAACAAAGAAGAGAGGATGCCTTGAGAAGAAGACCAGTCTCCTTGGGCTTCCTTAACCCTGGTTTATGGCCCATGGTCAGAACATCAACCTGGTATTTTATTTTAGAAGCATGATAGAGGTGAAGCCTCTGGGTGGTAGAAAGACACAGCTAACATCTTCTCTTCCCAGGACTTCCTGTTTATGTGTATCTATGAAAATAAGCATCAAACATGAAATTGGAGTATGTGAATTTTAATCTTCCTGCTGCTCTCTAACTGGCTGACTTAGATAAAGTAACCTTTCCTTTCTGAATCTCAGATTTTTCATCTCCCAGATAAAAAACTTGGGCTGGACAATTGTACATCCTCTTGTAGTTCGGGTGATATAATTTCCTTTAATCCATGACATAAATGATTCCTGCTGTCTCCACCGCCTCCTCATCATGATGTACCCTTCTGAATACTTTCCAGTATTTGGCAGTCACATTCCAGCCAGAGCACATCAAGGCAGAATAATCTTCTAGCACAGAAGGTGGTGTTCATATATACCATCTGAGCACCAGGAAGCCTCTGGTAGCTTTTATAGCACAAGGGAATGATTTATCCACACTCTTTCCCTGGATCCTATATTGGGACACCAGCACTCACTTCTGTTGAGTCTGTTTCTCCAGAATCACACACTTTCTATCCTGGAATCCAGAAATAATGGAACACGGACAACTCCTCCTTTCATAAAGTAGATGCTCAGTAAATGCTTATATATGAATTTTAATAAAATAATATAGGATGAGTGGTAGAGGAATAAAGTTCCATTCACTGTCTCCTTCCCTCCTTGGCTCTGTGAGAACATTCCTAATCATGCTGTTATGATTTGAAAGAAGCAAGGTCTCCAGAGTTGTAGAATGATACCTTGCACCGGAATGCTTTGATAACAGATTTTAGTTTCAGCAAACTAAAAATGAGTATATGGATGTTTTACTAATAAAAATTAAACATAAAACTACTATGTACTTTTTGTGTTTTCTAAATTGGCAACCTAAAGATATAAGGCTCAAGAATGCAGAGCTGAAACTTTCTCATATTCCCTTGTCTCCCTGTTCTGTCTTCTGCCTCCCTGTTCTGTCTTTATTCTCTCACTTTTAAAAAGAGAATAAAGCCCTCGACCCGTTGCTTTTTCCTTACTTCCAAAAACTATCAAAGACTGATAAAAATGCTAGGGAAGGAATATCTGCATTTTACTGTAGAATTCTCCTTCCTCAGAACCTCTAAGCCTTTCCTCCATACCTTTCTGAAGATGCAAAAAGTCACACTGTGGCATCGCGTCGCCCATGCCCTGTTGGAGAGGAGAGGAAATCAAATCCATGCCTTAGAGTTGCACCAACCTTTTCCAAAATGTACTTTTCCTGATTTTTAGAAAAAGAGAACCTTGAATTGCATGCATATTGTATAGAGAAAATGCTGTCTTTTTTTTTTTTTTTTTTCATGACGAAATCTCGCTCTGTGGCCCAGGTAGGAGTGCAGTGGCACAATCTCGGCTGACTGCAAGCTCTGACTCCCGGGTTCACGCCATTCTCCTGCCTCAGTCTCCCGAATAGTTGGGACTACAGGCGCCCACCACTAAGCCTGGCTAATTTTTGTATTTTTAGTAGAGACGGGGTTTCACCATATTGGTCAGGCTGGTCTCGAGCTCCTGACCTCCGGTGATCTGCCCGCCTCAGCCTCCCAAAGTGCTGGGATTACAAGCGTGAGCCACCGTGCCTGGCTTGTCCTCTTTTTTAAAGAAACAAAAAAGTCAATAAACACCAATGCTCTGAAACTTTTAAAGAAGGGAACAAGATTAAACTTTTGTAAACAGTGATTACCATAGACTAAAGGTTTGGTGTGAGGATTCCGGTCTAGAAGGTCCCTATATTCCTTAAGACCATCTGTCCTCCTAGAGGAGAACAGCAGGGCCTGAGTTTTGATGGTGGCCCCTCAACAGAGACATGCAGCATGTTCAATGGCTGGGAGAAACATTGTCCTCTTCTCTAGGTGGCAGCTGCTCTAATGGAAAGAACACTGGATTGAATCTAACCAAACCAGCCATTCAACTTGCAAAAGTTGTGCAAAGGGAAACAAGAGTGCATGCTTATCTTAATTGAATGTTGAGTGTTGTGAGGATGAATTTGCATGATGTGAATGTGCTTTATAAATTATGCATGGGAAGATAAATGGGGGTGTTTTAATTGCTTTCAATTTATATGATTATCAGCACTGAGAACTGACTATATGTCAGGTACTGTGGTATTCACTACATATATCTAAACCCACTTACTCTTCCCTGAAACATTGGGAGACACGTATTATGATGCTAATGCTACAAAGGGAGGCAGGAGGACTGAAGCCCACAAAAGTTGAGTAACTTCACCACTATTCTATGTTGTCACATAGAAATTCTGCAGCTCACACTCAACTCTCTGCCCCCATACTTTAAATTGCAACAGCAATTCATCTCTTTTCCTTGTTTTCTTCTGTCTTCCATGTAATGCACATAGGACAAGGAAAAACCTTTGACACAGATCTTAACTTTCAGTAAAGTTTTAACTAATACCCCTACCATATCATGCAGATTGACTGCCAATGTGTCTCTCTTGGGTCTCAGCTGACAATACACTCTGCCTGCCCTGTGAGATGGAAATTCAGGACTAGGAGTCACGAAGGGAACAATGTGTTGAGCCAAAAGGTGACATTTTATGTGGTCCCTTTGTGGGTTGTAACTACATTCCCTTTAATGCCCTTTTATTTCTCACTCTCAGAGGTGGGGGAGCAAGAAGGGAATTAATTATAGCGAGCCACTATTCCTGCCTGCTGACAGAATGTTGCTCATAAACTATGGGCTGGGAATAGACGTCCCTATAAAAGCATAAAATGAGAGGCCACTCCTCCCATAGAAATGACTAAGGATGGGCAAGTCTCTACTTTTGTTGAGAAATACTCAGACTACTGAAAGGGTGCTTTATTTCTCAATCTGTGGCCACAGTTCTTGAAATGACAAGGTCATCAGATGTTCTAAAATACCTGCTCAGTTGCATATATGGACCCATATTGTATACATGCCAGGCATAAATACTACATATGTGTGTACACAGACATATGCATTCACACACACACACACCCCTGAAACTCAAGAAGGAACGAATCAGGACTTATATTGCTGGCCCTGAGTCTGACAGACTATTCTTCAAATTCCAAGTCCATTATAAGTTAACCACATTCTTTGTAAAACTTGTACATTAATAGCTTTAGAAAAATACAATAGAAATAGATATGTATGTAAAAAGTGACATGTTTATAGTGTGTTCTTTTTTCAGCTTTATTGAAGTATAATTGACAAAAATTGTATATATTTAAGATGTACAACTTGATTTTTTATACATGTATACATGTGAAATTATCAACACATTCATATCACCATGATTCTAATCTCACTCTTTCTCTTTGTAATAAATAAGCAATTTGGGGAACGTAATTCAAAATTATGTAAAAATCCAGTAAAGATTTAAAAGCCCTAAAAGACACTTTTGAACATAAAGCGATGAACATGGGGTATAACTTTTAAAATCTCTTCATGTGAATATAATATACAGCCACTCTGAGAACTATTATCCCAGATGTACTGACTTGGGAAAATGTCTGTGCAAGAAAAGGAATTGTATGCAGACTATAATTGCATCACCAAAAAAAAAAAAAAAAAAAGAATGAAAACATGTGCCAATCTAGTAATGCATATAAACAAACATTTTAAAACTCTGAATTATAGGAATTTGATAATGCTGGGTATTTATAAACAGATAAGTGTTTATTGCATTCTTCCCTATTTTTTCTTGTATGCTTATATTACTTAATAATGATATTTTAAATAATATTTAAAATCTATATAAGTAAAATCTTAACACACTGGATATCTCCCAGTAGTAAAAATAGAAAATAATGATCATTTTTAAAATTTTCACACTTGTGTATTATTTCAATTTATTTCAAAATGTGAGTACTCTTCTTGGAAAATGTTGAATGCTGAACGTAATACAGTTTTTTAAAAAAACTGATAATGAAATTAAGTCTCATGCAGTTAGCTTATTAGCTTTCAGTCAATATGCTATTGCCCATTCCTACCTGGCTGCCTCATGCTAAAGTGACCCCTATGGGTCTTCTTAGTTTTTTAAGCTTCTCTTAGTTGATTTTAATACAATATCTCATAGTTGTGAGGCTTAGGAAAGAAAGCATACAGGTAGTGGGACGAATGTGTATCTCCTAGATGTAAAAGGAGTCTCCCACTGCTCCAGTATGAGACCTGCTTTAGGGAACATCAGTGCTCCAATGCTTTATCATTGTTCATACCACATGCAAAGAAATACAGGAAGAATTCTTTAAACCTAGTCAATGAGAAGATGTAATAGGAGAGCTGAGTCCCAGGACAGATATCTGAAACATATCTCAAGAGTCTTCATTATGCTACCTAGAGGGAAAAAGGAGACTATATAGTAAATAAATACATTCAAATTTTATCAAAATGATTTCCAGATCTCAAAGAAATAGCAAAAACAATATATTTAAATTGGTTAAAAAATGAGCAAGATTGTGGGATACTGGTACACTCAAATGTTGGCAGCGAAGTAAATTGTTTCTATAATTCGAAAGGAGAGTCTGACCAGGTTACAAGAGCCATAAAAATAGCTTTGACCTAGTCATCTACTGCTGGGAATTTTCATAAATAAAAATTAACGTTAAAGCAAACAAAAAAAAGTCTAACATCTAGAAGTTGCTCAAATGCCATAGGAGTTTGTAAGGTAAATTTCAGTGTGTCGGCTCAATAGACCATTGTGTAACTGTAATAATTAAACTCTCTGAAGCACCATGATTATTTTTGGGGAAGTTGATATGAAATCATCGGGGCAGAAAAAAGCTCTTAGAGAAAGATCTTCATGGTTTAGGATACTCAGTATCAATTTTGGAGATTCCCTATTCATATCCTAAGACCTGAAATCTCAACTGCTCTTTCAGACCATGCTAGAACCCAGGCTTGGTTCTCATGCTTGCCTCTCCAAGGCATGCTCTTCACCAGCTTATTATCAGACTGAATTTCTGAGAAATCAGCAGATATATTCTTGCTGTCTTTCCAGGAGTCTAATAGGACTTTTGTAATCTTCCATGTTCCTGACCTGGAGAAATTCAGATAATCTAGAGCATAAATTGTTTTTAGAAGAGCTAGGCCCTGCCAATCCCAGCCATTCTTCTCCACCTGCCTTCCTGTTTGACAAAATCACTAATAGATAAAATAAGTGTCAAAGAATGCATTAGATAGAGCCAAGTCGCAAGGAAAACTCTACTGAAGGCAATTGCAATAGGCTAGAGAGATTGAAAACTTTCTGTTAAAATGAAAGGCAGGAAAGATTTTGGGGGCTGGGGTGAGCTAGTGGAAAACTACTAGAAGGCACTGGGGAGAAGTTTGTCTGATGCAATTAGACTTTCTCTGTTTGCTAATTTCTGCTTATTAAAGTTAGGTTCTTACTCTCCAACAAAGACTGGGAGATAGGGATTCTGTCTTTTCTTGATTAATATATTTTAAAGGGATAGCCTCCAGGTCCTTGAGAACGACATTCTTGGATTGTATGACTAGCAAAAGCCTGAAAGAAGAATTAACAACTCAAAGGGGAAGAGAAAGAATTTACAATTGCAAATTTTCTAAGGTAGTCCAAGAAAAGGGAGGTCAGGGGCTCATAATCAGGATGATTATGCAGAAAATAATGAGGGAAAAACATGTCTAAAATTTCATCAAGCTAAAAGAATGTTGAGCCAATCCTGGTCAGGAGAAAACAACCATGAGAGGGCAGCTGGCTGATATCACGCTGGTCTGGGAACCAGAAAAGAGTCCCATCTTCTTAGACGGCCTTGTATTCATAATGGTACCATGAATGACATCGATTTAATATTTTATCTTAATGTCTGGCCAACTTCTTACCAATTACATCTGTCACAGGTCATGTGGAAGCAGTCTGGGAAGCTGACAATTTTCTGGGGAGATTTCTCAGAATCAAGTCCTGTAAGGGAAGTAAGAAAAGGAGAAGTAGAGAGGCACTGCAACCTCAAAGTCTCAATCGATCAGACAGGGGAGTTTTGGAGCTAGTAAGGCCCTGTAAGATTGCATCTTATTAGGAATTAGGTGCCTAGGCCTTTATATGGAAAGCATAATGGAGTTAGGTGAGGCCAATCTACAGCCAAGGACAATCGCAAGAGGGAGAAACTCAACTGAAAGATATTAGTTGCTACGCCTTCTAGCAACTGACAGAATGAGTACCTTGGACCTAAAATGGAAGAATCTGGATTCCATATCACAGTAACCTATGTCTCAGCTCAAATACCCCTTCTTAAAAGAACTCTCCCTGATTATCCAATTTAAAACATCCCATTCAGACTCTTTTATCATAATTATAAATTATGCTTTATAATTTTTATACTCATCATCTGAAATATTTTTATAAATGTTTCCTTTAGAATGTAATCTCCATATAGACAGAGAGCTTGCCTAACTTAATCATTTCTGTATTCCCAACACTTAGCAAGGCTCATGACTTGTAGTAAACAATAATATTTGCTAAATGAATAAATGTATTAAATATTTTCCATGCATTAACAATTAGGAACCTCTGTGAGAGATTTTTGACCTTGTCTTATTGGAAGCTTATCTCTGAAAAGCTCTGGTTTTGAGTAAGTCCATCTTCTGAAGATTGTCTCCTTTACAGCTTTCTATGGATCATTCCTATTCATTGGGGAACAAAGTTTTATTTTATTTTTTTCACTGTAGCACTTACAACAATTCCTGGCA
The DNA here is from genome assembly GCF_000001405.40 of Homo sapiens. NCBI lineage: Eukaryota > Metazoa > Chordata > Mammalia > Primates > Hominidae > Homo > Homo sapiens. The sequence goes on from NC_000010.11 coordinate 107,860,013, forward strand.
TTTAGTTAATGCTCTGTAAAGATTTGATGAATAGATAAATGAATGAATGAATGAATGAATGAGATAATAAATTAATCAGCCTTAGCTCTGCCCATTGAAGCTGTAGGAAATAAGTCTGAAACTCTTTTACATAACAGGCAGGTTTTCCCCGAAGCTCCTGGCCAGTTCCTACTTCTCTCCCTGCAAGACATATATCTAAGGTATCTATTCATTCTTTGGAAAAATTGCTTCCAAATTATTTCAGCATTCTCTCTTCTCTGTGTTAAAATCAAGGTGCTCTGGTGGCATACTCAGGTTTTATGGATTTATTTTTTTCCTCCACTACTAAGATAGAAGATTCTTTGGAGCAGACGCTGTGCCATATTCACTCTAATTCCCACTCTACCTAGTGCAGCATTTCCCAACAGCAGGTGCTCAGTAAATATTTGCAAATAAAGTTTTAGCCACTTTCAAGATTGCAAATTGAAAAAGTAAGTCTAACTTAGCTGATTGGTTAAGTTGTCATGACCAAACCTTTCTTCTCCCAGGGTCTAATTAAGGTTTCTGAAAATTATACTAATTCTCAGGAGACACGATGCCTTAAATTCTAATAGTAAGCACTTTTTTATAAGGTGATTTATTTTTGCCCACAGATCTTTTAATTTGTATAGTAAGTAATAAGATCTATAAGAGAAAATCAGAAGAATCAATAGATAAAGTTAAAGAATGTGGGGGAAAAAGCATGAATTTGTTGTAAATAAAGTGTAAATAAAAACAACATAGACTGGAGAAAGTTAAAATCTACAGCTTAATTACTAATACTCTGCTTATTTAATGCAAATGGCCTCATTCCAACAACTCTAAAAATAATTTGAACAATGTATTACTCCATAAAAAAATCTACCATTGACCAGCTGTGCATGTCCCCACAATTACCACTAAAAATTTTTGTTCTAGGCCTTGTTTATGCATTTATTTACCCTATATATCAGAAACTGTTTATTGCCAGTCATTCAGTCATAGACGAGACAAACATATCTCTGAATTCTTGGAATTTCATTCTCACATAGTAGACATTAAACACAAAATTACACAATCAACTAAATACAATGGTAATGGATGTTTCTTGTTAACTTCAGGCATATATTGTCTTGGAAGAGTATCAGTCTGTCATTTATTGAATACCCACTGTATGGGCAGTATTTTGAATAATGGCTTATTAATTTCATGCAACCCTAGCAAGTGACTATTAGCTTTTTCATTTTATAGCTGAACATACTGATCATCAGAGTGTAATGAATAATATTGATAATATCATATAAGATGTATTGATAAGATAGACCCCTATCTACACTATTTTATTTATCTTCAATGGACACCCATGAGAATGACGAAGCTCAGAGAAGTCAAAGGGCTTTTTCAAGATTATCTAACCAGCACTTAGAAAAGGAAAAATTTAATTACTGTCAGACCCTTGTTCTGAACCCCAAGCTGTGCTAAAGACAGTTGAGCAAACTGAGGATTAGAGAGGTAGGATCACAGGCCCAGGATCATATACATAAAAGATGTAAACCCAGCATGCTTGACTCCAAAGTACATGCTCTTATTATTAAACATGAAGGATTAATTTCACTAATGTTGTAAATTGGGGCCTGAGGGTATTTTGATTTAGGCCAGTAATATACCTTCACTTTCCAAAACAGAGCTAGCCTTGGCCCTCAGGCATGGGAGAAAATGGACATCACTGCATCCTGCTCAGTCACTGCTACTCGCCAGGATAAATTCCCCTCTCTTTTCCGCTGGTATTTCTGCCTCCCTTCTTTCCAGTTTCTCTTTAAAACTCCTTACCTCCATTGAGCCTTCACTCTCATTATATCCCAAAGCTGCTGAGCTCTCCCTACTCTGCATCCTCCGAGCATTTACAAACTCCATGGGCACTGCATAAAGCTGCATCTATTTATGTGCTGCTCTGAGAATGTTCTTAAGTCATTTTCATGAGTGTGTGCTCTTTCATCTCAATTCAGCTTTATGTTCCTGCAAGGCAGGAATAGAGGCCTTTATGGTTTTTGCAGTGGCTTCCACAGAGCCTGATTCAATTCTTTCTCATTAGGGTTAACTAAATCAAGCCACCCTCCTCACTCCCTTGAACATACTGATGCAAACTGCATGGTGAAGAACAGAGGACAGGGAAATCAGAAGAGAAAGTGGGCAGTTCAGAGCTGTTATTGTGGGGACAAAACAAGTATTTTCAGACAGAACACAAGATAGAAAATGTGGCATCAATTGGGAGGAGTCAGACATAGCCTCAGAGGAATATATGGTAGTGAGATAATCCTTCCATTTGAAGGGTAGAGGACATACCAGGGTAGATATGGTGAAGATAGCATCTGTGTTGAACTGTAAAGGATGGTAATAATTGGGAATTTACAAAGGGGTGGACATTGAGATAGATGGAACAAAAGAAACAATGGTCTTCTTAGAGTAATTGTGGTCAGACATGAGAAAGAAGGTAATGGTCTGTATAGCTGAGCTATTGGGTGCAGCAATATATGCAGAGGAGAAATAATCTTTGAAAAGGAAATAGAGTCTCAATAGAGGAGAGCTTGAATAGCAGGAGTTTAAAATCTAATCTCTGTAGACAATGGGGAACCATAGGAGTTCTTAGTGTCAAAGAGTGACATAAGCAGTGCTTTGCTATCAATAATAGATTTTGGGGGGCATATGCAGGCAAGGAAACTAGTTAGGAAATTATTCTAGTAGAACAGAAAGAAGGAACAAAGGTATAAACTGAGGTAAGAGTGGTGTGGAGGGAAAGGAGAGGATTTGTGGGGGCTCCACAGAGGACAAACGCACAGGACTAATCACAGATTCTTACATGGGGGCCGGGAAGAGGGAAGAATAAATCCAGGACTGAAATCTCTCATCTGGTGAATGAGAATAGTGATAACTAATATTTTGTGGGTGCTCACTCTGTCACAGGCACTGTGCCAAGCATAGAGTACCTGTCTTAGCTCACAATCTTTGTAACAACTGCTTTAAAGTTGTTAGAAACTACAAAGGTACATACTTCAATAAACCTCATTTTATAGTTATAGTAACCAAGGCAAGAAAAGGTAAAATAACTTGTTCAAGTACACTCAGCTAGCATGTAACAGAGCTGGGATGATGAACCTATGAGGTCTGACTGCTCAGCACAGACCATGAAGCTTAACCATTAGGCTCTACTGTAGTGTTGAACACAGAAAAAATAAAAACAGAGACCACAGTGAGTGTGGGTGAGCAAGTAAAGGGTAAGAGGATGAAAGTAACCCAAGAAACATCACTGGAAATAAGAAGAGACTGTGGGGAGCATGAGTTTGCATTAGACTCAACAAGGAAGACACAGGGAGGAAATAGATCCATTTATTGAATGGTAACTGCCAAAAACTGCTCAACACACTTTAGATACATTTTTGTTAAACCTTTCTAAGTATATCGTGTGGTAGATGCTATTATTACTGTGCCCTTTTAGAAGATGAAGGAATTGAAGATCAGAGTGATCAAGTAAGTTGCCTGAGATCACACATATCTTACATAAGAAAATCAAGAGTTGAACCCAGGGCTCTATGTTAAAGCCTACATACATAACCATTATACACACCATGCCCAATGTGACAAAGGGTCGATGTGAACAAGGACTCAGGAATGGCCATTTATGTGGTCACTAAAACATAAGGTTGACTACATAATTTATTCTTCAATCTGATAAATTGTTTAGAATTTAAAAACGGGCCCATTACTATGAGTGCCAGAATGACAGGCATATGCTGTCACTATCCTAGGTGAATTAAGATGTATGGATGCCCTACCAGGAGGACCTTGGCATCCTTCAAAAGAACAGTATTAGTAGAACCTTGAGAGTGGAGGCCGGATAGCAGTCGGTTCAGAAGAAAACTGGAGATTAGTGAAAAAACTTAAGAATTACTTGGATTCATCAAACAATATGAAGAAATAAACTAAGTAGAGGGGAACCCTGGGCCTGTCCAACTGTGGGCTGGGCTGGCACAATGACACATTATGGGCACTCAATAAATACCTAATGATACACTAGCAGGGATGAGGAAAGAGGCTGCTCTGTTAGTTTTGCTTTGTGTTCATTTATCTTGTTTATTTTCTGAGACAGAGGGATATTGAACATATTTGTAGGCAGAGAGGAGGAACCAGTGAAAAGAAAAAGATAGATGATGCAAATGTGAGGGGAAAATAAAACAAGAAGGGTTGGGGAGTTCCACATGTTCAAGAAGAATTTGTCTTAGAAAGAGAGAGAAAAAAATTATTAAAGAAATAATGCAATGTCTTGGATATGTACAAGTATGAAGGAGACAGTTATCCATTAAGAAGTGCTCAGATTCCTGGGTGAGGATGAAGTGATGGCAACATCCATCTAAGTCTTACTCATTCAGTGTAAATCACATGGCTGCTAAGCACCCTGCACATGAGTATGCATCTTAAGGTAAAGTCAGGCCCTTCCTGGTAGAGACAACTCAAGCACAGTGACGATCTCAGGCTGAGAAAGCCTACAGCATGACAAGGTCCCAGGATGCAGCTGAGGAAGCCTGGACTCAGTTCCCAGTTGGATCCCTGATTTGCTGTGTAACTTTGAACAAGTTAGTTTTCTTCTCAGGTCTTCAGTTTCCTCATCTGTCAAAAGGGAACCTGAACCAGTTCAGCGGTTTACAAATGCCTGTAGGTTCATATGGGGCTGTGATGGCGTTTCTTTTTTAAAATCCTAATCAAAGAACAGTATAGCAAAATGTATACCTAAAATAGTGTACAACTTGCTTAATTTACAGAAAATGAAAAGATGTGTGTAGTATCATCTGTAACACACACACAAAATTACTAGCACCCTAGAAATGCCCCCACCCTTCCTTCCACACACCCTCCCATCTACTACTTGACAACATCCCACTACCCTGACTTCTATGAGCAGAAATTAGCTTCACCTCTTTATCTTATTTTTAGAAATTGAACCACACAGTTTGGGTCATCTTGTGTCTGGCTTCTTTCAACTCAGCATTGTTTGTGAGATTTATTCATATTGCAGAGTATAATGCTGTATATTATACTCTGTTGTATAGTATCGTAGAGTTCAATGACGTGTTTTGAAAGTTAGGAAAAGTTTAAATTGAAGTATATTTTATTTAAAGGTAAATATATACAAAATAAATTATTTTGATTTTAGATTACATTCTTTCATCCTTTTTGTGATAAAATGTTCTTTATTTGAAATCCCTTGTTAATTGCTGAAGTTTCATTTTGTCATTGTATTTACTTTTACTTTGTCTTAATTTTAATATGCTAACTTAGCAAATTCAGCTCTGTATTTTATCATTCTAAAAAATTTGACTGGGTCTTGAAGTCCCCAAGCTTAGGTTCCATGGGACTAGAAGGCCCCTAAATTTCTTGGCTCTTTTTATAAGCCAGCTTAAGCTTCTGGCCTTTCGTTACAGCCTCCTTCGACAAACAGCTCATGTGCACAAATTCTAAGAGGTGCCCAGAAAAACCACAAAGACCAATTATTGATTCATCTTGAGGTGGATATTGGGAGGGGAAGCCTTTTTTTTAATGCTCATAATTCACATGCATAAATAGCAAATAACCATATCAATTCCTTCACAGTATTAGACGAGTTTAGGTCTTACCAGATGCCCTTGAGAATTGCCAGAAAGCCTGGACTAGAAGAGGACATATGACCCCCACACAGGAAAGGACGAGAGAACAGAGATACCGAGCATGAGACTGTGCCTCAGACACTGTGCCTCAGTGGAATTCTAGAAAGGGGAAGATGTTCCGTGGGCTGGTGGTCCTCTAAGAAAGCCTCATTACCAGAAGTAGACTTTAAAGAGAACGTAGGGACCCCTAGCGGGCACTCAACTAACAAATATGATTTATTTAATCCTTTGGAAAACAGGATAAAATCAACCACTCGAGCCATGGTTGAAATACTATGTATTGTAGAAAAAGATCACATACATGCTCACACACACCAAGAAAAGGGGGAAAAAAAAAGAGGATTCCTCCTTTGGTTCTTGAGAGATAATTGCCTGGTTGAAGTAATGGGATTTGTGATGGAATCTTTCATCAAGATCTATTGAAGAGAGGAGCTTCCTGCTGGCAGAATTCAGAATGTGCTTCCCCAAAGGAGTGCAATTACATATTCAGCCTCTTTCCTAGAAGAAAGCAATTATGGGGCAATTTCACTTTTAAACAAAATCAATTTGAGGTTCTGTTTTCCATTAGTAGCTGCAAAAAGAAGTAGCACCTGAATTAGACAGTACATAGTTACCCTTTTACAACTGAAGTAAGATGCATTGTAAATGAAGGTTTTCAGAAACCTGTGGGTTATATAAGGCAACACACACACACACACACACACACACACACACACACACACACACAGTTGTTTTTACGTTTGCTTAAAGAAGAAAACTTTTGTTTCTGCCTGGTGAGCATTCAACACCTCCCTATCTCTGTTTTTATAGCATTTACATACCCTGTTTTATTTTTTCAGCACTTTGAATCTTGAAGCTAAGACGTGTCTGAATCATACCATCCTTTTGTAGAATCTTAGCTGTAGCTCCTGCTGCCCTATCCCCTGGGGTAATGATAACTTTCTGTAAAAATCTCTTCACACCATTAAAATATATGTATTTATATGTATTAAATATATGTATCTATATATAAATATAATGTAGCTATATATAATTTATATATACATAAAATATAAAAAATATATTGTACATATATACATAATAGAGAAATATGTATTTATATGTACACATAAGATATATGTGTATATAAATACATATATTTAAATAGTGGGAAGAGATTTTTAGAGTTATATCATTAGTCCAGAAGATGGGGCTAATATATATTTATATTTTTTATATATAAATCCTTATATATTGATATATATTTAAATGTAAATCTTTATGTATTGATATATATTTATATGTAAATCTTTACATATTGATATTTATGTTTTTATTTATTGATATGTATTTATATCTATATACATACAATTAATATTCTATATTATATATAGTAATATAATTCTATATTATAATTCTATAATATATTCTCTATTATATAATTCTATATAGTAATATAATTCTATATTAAAGGTATACCATATATTTTCATGCACATATATATCACCATATAAAGGTAAACATACAAGGTGATGGGTATGCTAATTAGCTTGATTACACATTTTATTTTTGATAGAGATAAGTACAATTGGATTCTGTGGCTTGCAAACAAGAACAGTTTCTGAGGCATATGGCATGTGACCAATATACATCAAATACATCTGAATTTTTCAAAGACGAACGCTTTTTTATATTTCCATATTATAAGTGGCATAAAGCAGATGTATAGCTTTAAAACAATGAGTTGTTCCTGCCTGACATTGCCCAAGGCAGGAAAAACAATTAGATGACCTTACAGCCCCAGGGTTCAAAGCTAATTATGATGTTTCCTGAGGAGAGAGAGATGGAAACACCTTAAAATCTCCTAGAGTGGGTATGGTTTCAAACAGTAGAGTTTTGATATTGAAATACAAGAATAGAAATTACTCTGATGTGTTTCTGCTGTAGAATTTTCTATTACCAATGTCATTATTGTAATTTCTACAGCAAAGGAAACAATGTTTAATTAATGAACATTGTCTTCATATGGCAATAAGGGGACATATGTTCTAATTAGCATCAGATCTAACTCATACACTTGCTCTCTAATCCCAAATACCATAAAGGAGAGAGCGGAGCCCAAGAGAGGGGAGGGAATACAGATGTGTGTGTATCTTTATACTCCCAGGACATTTCATCCACTGGGGCCCAGACTCACCCCACCTTTTGCCATTGGACACTTGACGTCATGTACCTTAAACTCTACTCTGTCTCAACCCCTGAGAAACCCTAAACAACCTCCCGAATATGATTTTGTGTGACTGCACATAGTTTACTTCATAACTGAACCAAGATGCCCCTACCTCTTCGAACACCTCTAGCTCATCTGAAGTGTCTGTCTGAATCTGAAAATGACCAAAGCCCAGCTGAGGAAGGCTTCCATTGGACAGACGCAGAGAAGCCTGTGGAGTCAGACTGCTAGGAGTTGAATACTGTCTCTGCCACAAAGTAACTGTAAGGTCTCTGTGAGTCCCTTAATTTCTCTGTGTCTCAAGTTTCCCCAGCTCTAAATGTAAAACAGAGCTATTAACAGCACCCATATAATAGGTCTGATGTGAGTGGTAAATCAAATGCCAAACGTTTAGACCTTAGAAGAGAGCTTGGCACATTAAAAACTATTCAATAAATATTCACTAATATGTTGCTTTAACACATGACCTTTGTGATCCCCAAATCCATACTCTCTCACCCCACTAGGTCAGTACCTCTGCCCTCCCAGGGAACTGTAAGGTGTCTGGGCAGAAAATCGAAGCTGGATCTTAGGCAAAGAGGATAATTTAGTAGATTGGTTCCCAAGCCTGATCATTAATAAGGCAAAGGTCCTTTCTTAGACATGGACACAGGGGAGTAACAGGAATTTCTTGGAAAGATAAAATTCAGAATCAGCTCATCACTCAGCTATGGAAGGCTAATTCCTCTTGACTGAGAACTACCCCCTCGTGGCTTTCATTGTGTAAGTGACAAGCCAGATCCCTGTGGTGTCATCATTTTGTCAAACGCTTTGGAGACACTCATCTTTGCAGTGGCCTTCATCTAAAAGATACTTTTGGGGATTTTAAGATGAAGAGTCTGTGTGTGTGTATATAGATAGATAGATAGATAGATAGATAGATAGATAGATAGACAGATAGATAGATAGATAGATAGATTCAGGTTAAGGTTATTTGGGGCCAAATGTAGGTCTTAACCTGGAGATGATTTTTGGTGTAGAATGATGAATAGTAATGAAATGACATTATTGATTTTCTTCTAATGCCTGTAAACTGCCATTAAAAGTATAAATGCCAAATATTAACCTCATTTTCCTCACTCTATTAAAAACTATAAAATATTGAAATAATGGAATAAAATATTAACTTGTCTCTAGGTAGTGCACAAGCCCTGAAGAAACATAGAAAGCAAAACATGCAATGAATACCTTTAATTGTAGTATTTAAAATCTCACTGGCTGTGTCCGTATCATTTATGGGCAGTATAATTAAACAATATCCTAATTTAGCATAAAGAGACTCTAGGGACCATATTTTATCCCTTCCAATTGCAAGTGTGAAAGGAAGGCTTGTTTCTCAAGCCTTTGTCCTTGTGATATTTTGGCAACGTGGAAGCCCTCATGGGTGTGTGTCAAACTTCTCTGGTCACCTAGGAGATCAAAGAGGACGGCACCTTACCTGCTTTAACACAGGAGACAATTCACCATACACTATCTAGCAACCCTGTTTTTCATGGACCCCAAATTCTGATTTTGTATTGTATCAACCTGACAACCTTTATTTCTGTAGCACAATGGTTCCAAGGAGCCAGGTTGCAGCTACGTTCACCAATCACAAGTATCTTGTGGAGTACTGATGAAATTTTCTATAATAAGCAGAATTTTTATATTGTAATGGCTTTTAATTCAGGATGCATCTGATAATTGATGGAATATAGCAGTCACTATTAGCTATATGTTAGTTATAGTGCTATTGTATGAAAACTTTCTGTAGAAAGCTTCTGGGAAAAGCAGAACGGTGCCATTGTCAAAGCTTCTTAGTTTCACTGAAATATGAGTGTACATAGCTAACATTTATTGATCACTTTCTATGGGATGGTGTAGCAGTTATCTATTGGCATGTTAATGCTGTGTAACCAACTACCACAAAACCTGTGTCACACAATAGTCAATATTTATCATTTCTCATGAATCTATGGGATAATTGAGCAATTCTGCTAAACTAGGCCAGACTTAGCTGGGCTCACTATGGGTCTTCAGTCAGCTACAGGTTGCATAAGTGTTTTTGCTGATCTTGGTTGGGCTCCAGCATGTTTGGAAGTTGGCTGGCTCTAGGCTGGTTGTATGGGACACCTTTGCTATCTTCTTGTGATCTTTAATTCTCAGGCAGGTTAGCCTAGGCTTGTACTTATGGTAGCAGAATTCCAAGAGAAGGTGGGCTGATACAAGTAGGGTTTTAAGCTTCTGCATGAATAATACCTATTAACATCCTACTGTCCAAAGCAAGTCACTTGCTTGGGACCAGAGCGAGCTTTAGAAACAAAACTCAAAAGCTTTTCGGCTCTTTCTCTGAGTTTTCTTTGCCAGAGTGTAACATTTGGCTGGAGATGGACATCCACTGTCCTCTTTAGGTAGGGCGATCATTTTGACCCTGCC